>NC_000001.11:203336102-203487617 GCF_000001405.40 Homo sapiens | reverse complement strand
TCCTTGGGCCATTCTTCTCCTTGGCTGTTCCTCCTGAGGCCCAGCCAGGAGGGCGTGTGCTATGTTCACCCTGGAACAGAAGGGGGCGCCCTGCGCATCCCTGTGTCCTGCTGGCCAGATGCAGGCCCCTGCGGGAGCCCTGACCCTGCACCCTACCTCCGTCATTCCCTCGCTCCTCCTTCCCGATACCCGGGCCAGCAGGGCCAGGGCGATGTCTGGTGCCGGGGAACCAAGCGGCGGAGCAGCAGCTTTGCCAGAAGGGATCCTTGGCCCAGGAGAACTGGGTTTCTCGGCCTCTTTGAGCCAGAGCTGCCGAAGATGGAGGAGTCCCCAGGGGGACTTTCTGAACCTTACCTCCGGGCTGTTTGCTCGGCCAGGACCAAGATCAGATAGTCCACGGCCCAGATGTACCCAGGAGTGGCGGGTGGGGGAGGAGAGAGAAGGGGACACCAAGTCTTTAGACACATCTGTGTTTCTGGAGCAAAGGGAAACCACAGAAGGCCAGGAGTTTGGGTGTGCACTGGGTGTCTTTCAACTGGGTGGAACCAAACTGAGTCCTTGAAGTCTCGCTCCTGAGGCTGCAGAAGAATAGATGGCTTTTCCCTGCCTCGAGGGTGGGATAAGGGAGGCAAAGCTGGGAGAAAGAAAGGGAGAGAGAGAAAACGAATGGCCGGCACAGGTGCCTGGGCCCCAGCCTTCAAGTGCGGTCAGAGCAGATCCGGTGGCGGAGTAGGGCCTAGATGACCACGGACTGCAGGAGGCGGAAGCACATCATGAGGTCCAGCGGGATGGGCGGCTTCAAGTAGTTTCCATCCAGCCGCAGGTAGCGCAGGTGTGGCACGTTCTCCAGGTCCGAGGAGAAGTCATGGAACGCCACTAGGTCGTTGGGGCAAATCTGGGTTCCGTTGATTTCTACGGAAAAAGAAGACGAGAAATCAGAAGGGAGTGGAGGCTGGCGGCCAAGATGAGGAAGGGGAAGGGGGAAGACACCCGAGAGCAAGGACTGTAGACTTCTCTCTGAAACTGGCTAGCTTTGGGAATGTGTGATCATAGATGAGCTGCCTTGACCTCCAGGCTCAGTTTACTCATTTGTAAAATGAATTAAGTTGGAATTGATCAACAACTGTTATTGCAAGTTAACTCTAGAGAATTGGAAGTAAATTTTGAACTGGGCCTTCAAGAATAGGTAGAATTACAACAGGTGGAGACCTGGGGGATGGTGTTCTGATAGAGGAATCTGTTTGAATGAAGTTGTGGAGGCCAAAATTCTGCTTGTGGGCGAATCTGGGAATAGTAATAGTGCCCAATGTGATGTACTAAGGAGAGTAAGCTGGGAAGGTAGTTAGGCTTTCACTAAGAGGCTTTTGATCTCTGGTCTGAGGAATGGCAGTGAACAGGACTGTCTTTGTGAGAGCGATGTTATTAACAGGATACTTGAACCATGGTATCCTGGAGCGTTAAATCTGGAAGGGTCCTTAGAGATCCCTATGTTCAGGTTTATGCTGTACAAAGATAATCCGGCTACACTGTGGAGAAGCAATGGAGTAAGGTGAGATCTGAAGCCAGTAGGTGGATGTGAAAATTACTCTGCAGGTTTTCCTTTGAATTGGATGTGAGACATGAGGATGGGCAAAAGATGGTAACTGAAATAAGGATGACAGGAAGAGGAAAGAGGATCTGGGGAGAGCTCCGGAACCCCCGGGACATGATGAGCCTACTGATTCTGAAGGGTCCATGGCCTGAGATTCCATTTCCTCCATCACATCTTGTTGGATGCCTGTGGCACCAGGCATGCCAGCATTTAAATGAACTGTTTTATTCTCCCTAAGCCTTGCCTCACTTATCATTTATGGAGGAGCAGGAGGAGGAAGAGTAGGCATCATCTTCATTGTAATTGTCTTCCTCTTCCTTTTCCTCGTCTTTCTTCTTTGCCATTGGAGTAGCAGAAGGGCCCTGACACGGGGGTTTTCTCTTATGAGCTTGGGGCTGTGGCCTAGCCACCCTCATGCTGAGTTCTTCAATCTGTGAAATGGTAAGAGTGGTGCCTGCCCTGTAATCAGGGGAGAGAATGTTGGCAAAGGCATTTTGTAAGCTGTTTAAAGACAGTACCAGTGGCAGCATTATGGTCATTGTGAAGAACGTAATCACCCCACTGACCTAGGCCCCACTCAGCCCATTCTGTCGGGTAAAAGGCACAGGAGACAGGCTGGATGGGGTGGGCTCATGTGGGTGAGGTGTGAGTTCTCTGACTTCAACCTTAGAAGGTTGGGATATCCTCCAGCAACCTGTTCTTCCACAATCTGGTAGAGACCTATCAGCCATTTATTAATCAAGGTATCCCTTCTGTCTGTATTTTGGCCTCATAGCTTCCTGGGGGTAATGTGTTTTATTTTAGTGTGCTGTCTCCAGGGTAAAATTATACAGTCTTCCCCTTTTCCCATTTTTTTTTTGTAAGATTAAAAAAAAAATCCTCCCCTACTTCTTGAAATTATCCCAAATGAGTGAACGATCTATTCGCCCATTGTTGGTGTCGGTAGAGACACCAACAATCTCCATCTCATTCTTTGGTTTGGAACCTAAGGATCCCCAAATATCATTCTAGGGGTCCTTCTCTTTTCCCTCAATCCCTCTCTTCCCTTCTGCTGCTGCATCCCTTCTGTGAATGTAGGCTGATTTTGTTCAAGGACCAGAAAATATTATTTCACTTCTAAACCTTTCTGCTAATGCTCTGCTCCGAGCTGAAATTTTTGATTGAAGCAAAACTGCAACTTCCAGCCTCCTCTCCTGGGCTGCAATTGATACTCCAAGTCCAGAACCCTGTAAATGTCACTTAGGCAAACTCTTCCTTAAGTGCACCTAAACATCGCACCCTTCCAGATAGATTCAGAAAGCACCAGCATGCAGACCTTCTTTTCCTGACTGCCACATTTTTACCAGTTGCATACCCTGAATCAAAACCCAGGCTCAGGCTTGGGAAGAAGCATCTTCCCACAGGGGCAGGTTTCTGCAGAGGGCAGACCCAGGACATTTCAGGATAGGTATTTAAATGTCTCTGTTCTGTTTTTAGCAGAATGTCCAGGAGTATATTCCATGTCTACCCTACCTATAGATCCAGTTGCCAAGGAACTGGGGCTGAGGAAGAATGGAGGAAGAAAACCTATGACCCTCCAAGTATGGTATTCTGGGCACTTTCTCCATATTAAACTATTACATCCTCATATCACCTTTGTGATAGAAGATATTGTTACCATTCTCACTTTACAGATGAGGAAACTTCCCAGACTGGTCAAATATCTTTTCAAGGTCACCCAGATAGCAAGTGGCAAGGCCATGAATTGAAGTCCAGTGCCAAAGTGGATGCTTTTTATACCACCCCACCCTGAGTCTCCCTAGAGAGGGTGGAAGTGCTACACAAGCCAACCTCCTTGCCTTCGGCCCCGCCCCGGCCCACCCCACTCACTCTCGATGCTATTGTTGTTGAGGTACAGGTGTTCCAGCCTGTTGTTGATGGCGGGCACACTGCTGATCCTGTTGTGGGACAGGTGGAGCACAAGCAGGTTGGAGATATTAAAGGAGTTCTTGGGGAGTCCCCTGTCTGTCAGCTTGTTGTAGTTAAGCCGAATGAAGGCAAGATTGGGAAAGCTCTTGAAGTATCCGTTAGGGATGGTCTCAATCTTGTTACTGTCCAGGTAGAGCTGGTGAATGGCGGTGGGGACCCTGGGCGGCATCTTTCTCAGGATGTTGTGGGCCAGGTTGAGCTGCATGAGGTTCTTGAGGCCATGGAAGGTGTCGGGCTTGAAGACGCCGTCGCTCAGCCTGTTGTGCTGGAGATCCAGGAGCAGCAGGTTCTCCAGCTTGCTGAAGACACCAGGCGGGATTCTGGAGATGTGGTTCTGGCTCAGCCTCAGCTGCTCCAGGTTCCGGGGCAGGGCCGAGGGGACCTCTTCCAACTGGTTCTTCTCCATGTAGAGGAACACCAGGCCGGGCAGTTTCTCCAGCACCCTCTGGTCTATCTTGCGGATTCGGTTGTTGTCCAGGTTAATCCATCGCAGGCCTGTGGCATTCTGGAAGGACTCCACCGGGAGCTCAGTGATGAAGTTGTTCTGGAGATAGAGGTAATGGATGCGGGGCGGGATGACAGGGACCTTTCGCAGGTTGCGGCTATCACAGTAGAGGGCAGATGGGAAATCAGGGGGGCAGTAGCATTCGCGGGGACAGTCAGGGAAGATAGATGGAGGGCCTGGAGGGAGGGGAGGAGGCAGGTCTGTTGGCTCTGCTGGTTCATCAGGCTGAGGAAAGCTGGGTGTGGGCCTGGGCCTGGGCCTGGGTCTGCGCCCGGGCCCAGTCCCGGGTCTTGGTCGTCTTGTTGGCTGGCCTTGGGCCACTGAGGCCAAGATGAGAAGTGGGAGGAGCCAGCAGAGGGGTGACCTCATGATCCAGGTGATGCACCTGCAGGGAGAAGACACATAAGGTCATTATCCTTGGGCCCTCAGTAACTAGTTGTCATGTTTTTGAAGCCAGAGTTGGGCAGAACTAGAGCTCTAGGGAAGATGGGCAGAGCTCAGGGAGCTGTGGAAGCATCTCCTTGTTTGCCTGTACCCAGCAGGTAAGGGAATAACAAGGGCTTGAGGCTCTGGATTCCCTGGCCATTGGCTTAGCCACTCGATGTGTTGAGCCTGCTCTGAAGAGGGCGGGGGACATGCTGGTAGAAAGCACATTGGTGGCCAGGTGCGGTGGCTCACACCTGTAATCCAGCACTTTGGGAGGCCAAGGTGGGCAGATCATGAGGTCAGGAGATCGAGACCATCCTGGCTAACACGGTGAAACCCTGTCTCTACTAAAAATACAAAAAATTAGCCAGGCGTGGTGGCGGGTGCCTGTAATCCCAGCTACTTGGGAGGCTGAGGCAGGAGAATGGCGTGAACCCGGGAGGCGGAGTTTGCAGTGAGCCGAGATTGCACCACTGCACTCCAGCCTGGGTGACAGAGTGAGACTCCATCTCAAAAAAAAAAAAAAAAAAAAAAAAGGCACATTGGGGCTGGTGGGACAGTGGCATACAAGCCTGTAATCCCAGCACTTTGGGAGGCCAAGGCGGGTGGATCACTTCAGGTCAGGAGTTCGAGATCAGCCTGACCAACATGGAGAAACCCCATCTCTACTAAATACAAAAAATTAGCAGGGTGTGGTGTTGGACACCTGTAATCTCAGCTACTTGGGAGGCTGAGGCAGGAGAATCGCTTGAACCCAGGAGGAGGAGGTTGCAGTGAGCCGAGATTGCACCAATGCACTCCAGCCTGGGCAACAAGAGCAAAACTCTTTCTCAAAAAAAAAAAAAGAAAGAAAGAAAGCACACTGGACTCCGAGTCAGGAGTCCTGGGGCTTGTCAGAGAAGACCCTTAACCACTCTGGCCCTCAGTCCTCCCATTCACAGCATGAGAAAATCATCAGTGTCTTCATGAGAGGGATGTTAGGATGTATGAACCTTAGCGTCCTGGTTAAATCCAGAAAGGTCCTTAAAGATCCTATAACCTAGTGGTTTTCCAACTCTGCTTTCATTTCTGTGACATACCCCTGTGGGGAGGAGACTGAGGAGATGGCCCTGGGGTACCCTCAACCC
Source organism: Homo sapiens (assembly GCF_000001405.40). Lineage (NCBI taxonomy): Eukaryota > Metazoa > Chordata > Mammalia > Primates > Hominidae > Homo > Homo sapiens. The sequence goes on along the minus strand of NC_000001.11, from coordinate 203,482,000 downwards.
ATCCCTGTGCCAACCTCAGCAGCTCTCTTTAAAAAAACCTATTATATATATTGAGGTTTAGCCGAAGCATTCATTTGTTGAGGGGCAGGGGACACGTTTCTTTGCTAAAAATGGCTTGAAATCCACCAATCAACTCCAGACCCCACCATTTGCAAAAACTGAGGACTGGAAGGAAGAAGTGGCTCGCCAAGGCCAAGATGCTGTTTAACAGCAGATCCAGTCTGCACACTCACACACACACCTCTTCAGGTCCCATGCACATAAGCAAACTCACTCACTTATCCTCTGTGTGCGTATATGAGCCCATACGCAGTACACTGAGTATTGGAAGGAAAGAAGGAAGGCGGAAGGGAAGGAAGGCAGAGACTGTCTTTCTCCACCTCCCTCTAAGGTGGTCTCTTCCAAGGCAGGCCTCTCCAAGGAGGTCTGGAAGGCCATTTTCCCTGGCCTCCTATCACAAAGGACCTTGCAGTTAGGTTTTTGGCTTGATCTCCCGTTAAGGATATAACATTGTCAGAGATACATTGCAAGGGTTAAAAAGAGAAGGCATTAATTGCAAAACTTTAAGCTTGAGTCTTGTTGGCTGAACCCCACTTCACTTGTAATTGGTGAACTATGAATTAACATTGTGTAAGTTCTGTAATTTTCTGGAAAACAGAACAGTCATCTTGCATATAAATTAAGGGGGTAGTTAAAGCATTGGTATTCTAAAACAAACATTTCTAAAAGCCTCAATTTTTGTGACCCTGATTTAAAAAAAAAAATTTATTTTCTAATCACCCAGAAGCCTAGAAATGATCTAGAAATCTTTCATACTGTGAGAAGCCCTGTCCCAAGGAGGCTCCCAGCACTGGCGGGAGTTTTTCTATATCCCTTCATTGCCTTTGTCACCGAAAGCATATGCCAGGGACTGGGCACCAATTTGCCCAGGGCTTCCAGCAAAAGCAGTGAGGCACTGTGGCTGTGACCTGTGCTGGGCGGGGCGGGGTTTCCTTGGCTCAGTGCCAGGGCAGCCCTGGTCTTCATTGTCAGGGGTGAGAGGAACAGGCAGGTTACTCACAGCTCCACCCAGCAGGCTGGCTGTGCGCGCCTTCTCATCCACAGTAAACACAGGCCTTCCTCATCCCCATGTGCAGCACCAGACCCTTTGGGAACTTATCTTTTCACTAGTCCTCTGACCCGTTTACATTCCAAACCTCTGGGCCTAGCCAAGCTGCTCCCAGAGCCAACAGGAGGTTCCCCAGGAAATGCTCCCAGGAGCAAGTTATGTGGGGAAGCTGAGCCTGCTCTCCTCCCCTTCCCTCAGCCCCAGGGCTGAATCAGAACCATTCCAAGTGCAGGGATGCTTCTCTCTTAAGGAAATAGCATTCATTTCTAAGGCTTTTCTCATGGGGTGATGCCCCTTCCTGCCGGAGCTTTGCCATGAGGCAGGATGAAAAGTTCTGACAGCTGACAGCACAGCCATTCTCTCTGGCAGTGCTCCGTGATGTCCTAGGTCTCTGAAACCAGAATCTGTGTGACAGACTGAGGGTACCTGGACTCCATGGGTAGTCATAGTCCCTCCTACAAAGCCTCAGACCCACACTCTATGCTCCTGCCTTCTAGAAACTTCTGTCCAATCATAAGATTCCTTAGGATGGGTCCATGTGTGTGTTTTTAAATTTTTCTTATGCTTTCACAAGTGCACTTCTCCACCCACAGCTTTCTACTGGGCTCTGCTCATTGCTCAATCAGTGAAGGTTTGTTGACCACCTACAACAGCCAACTGCATGCAGTTCTGCTCTCCACCATCAGTTCTGGAAAAGCTGCTGCTTCACGGAAGAGAAAGGCAATTGCTTTGCCCAACCCAACATTCACTCTCCACATTAAAGAACGTTTCCTAAGAGAATCTTAATTTTTTTTTCTTTTTTCACTTTAAACAAAAATGAGATGGGGGTCTCACTGTATTGCTCAGGCTGGTCTTGAACTCCTAAGCTCAAGCAATCCTCCCACCTCGGCCTTTCAAATTGCTGAGATTACAGGTGTGAGCCACTGCACCCAGCCTCTAAGAGAGTTTTAAATTCTAATTTCAATTCCAACTATTGTGGATCTGGGCTTGACTCCTGGCTCTGACTCTCCAACCCGGGCTCCTCATCTGTGTGAGGATCAAATGAGATCATGCATTTGAAGGCATGTTATAAAGTGCAAAATCTCTGCAAGTGGCAGAGGCTTACTTACTCATTTATTTGTTTATAAACAGCAGATTCTCTAGAGAGACTCCTTGATTTTTTTTTTTTTTTTTTTTTTTTTTTTTTGGTGATACAGGGTCTCCCTTTGTTGACCAGGCTAGAGTGCAGTAGTGCAATCACAGCTCACTGCAGCCTTAACCTCCCTGGGCTCAGGTGATCCTTCCATCTCAGCGTCCTGAGCAGCTAGTACTATAGGCATGTGCTACCACAGCTGGCTAATTTTTGTCTTTTTTGTAGAGATGGGGTTTTACCATGTTGCCCAGGCTGGTCTCCAACCCCTGAGCTCAAGTGATCTGTCCTCCTCAGTCTCCCAAAGTGCTGGGATTACAGGCATGAGCCACAGCGCCCCAAGGACTCCTTGATTTTTAAAGTGAGATAGCCCCCTTCCCTATCTCTCTCATTAATTTAATGTTAAAACCCAGGAGTGGTGGAATGTTTCTGCTCAGGGCAGGGTTGGGTGGAAGTCCTGATGGGTTGGTCAAGTCATTAGGAGCAGCTATTTAAGGCTAATTGGCTTTGTATGGAGAGGTTGAGGTTGGGCTGGGAATGAGGTTGGGTTTGTCTCCCAGGGCTAGGCAGGGCTAGCAGCAGGGTTACGCCGCACTCTGAACTGGCATTCTTCTTACTTGTCAGATCTCCTGTCTAATTGGTCACCCCTAAGCCTCCATGCCTTGACCCAGAGCTACCCTGCAGTGGAGAATGGGGCTGCTTCTGACCTAGCGCTGTGCCGGTGAATGTCGGAACACCCCTCTCTCTTTTTTCCCTTCTTTCTGTTCTCAACCTAGGTGTCTGAAAGCCATCCTGCTCTCTGTATCTCTTCCTGTAGTCCAGAAGGGTGTTGGAAGCAGGGAGAATCAAGCAGTCTTTGCCAATTTATGAGCAGAGTTAGTAGAGGAGTGAGCCTGAGGCCCTTTCAAGGCCCCCATTAGGGCTGATGTGGTCCTGAGATAACAAAGGAGCCTTATGGGGGCATGATGACTTCAAGATGCCCCTTTCTAGGAAGGTGAAACGATACAAGGATGAGCTTGCCTGGGGCAGTGGGAGGAGAGCCTGTGGTGCATACTAGTTAGGAGAGAAGATTCTCACCCCTCCACCACTACCTAGTGATGCGAACCCTGTTCTGGGCCTCAGTTTTCTTATCTGTAAAATGGGAATAAAAAAATCTTCCCTATACCTATATTCCTTACCCAATTGTCAGAAGCAAGTGCAGTTAGCAGCTTTAAAATGCACTACAGATCAAAAAGTGCTAAAAATAAAAATAACACTATTATGGAGAGACCATCTGTCTCCCCAGTGTCTACCACAAGGCAAAGTGTAAACAGAATGAAGATTTTCTGGCCTCAGGCCACTAGTTTAGAAGAGAAAGTTTTCCATTCTGAGCGGTGGGGAAGAAACCAGGGTGAGACGACTCTTCTCTGACAGCCCGCCACCTACCATATCCTCTGCCCCATTCCCCCAGCATCTCCAAGCCTTGAAGAAAGCCTAGAAGAGTGTGTCTGATGCCTTGAGTGATTATAGATCTGAGACCCAATCCTGCAGTTCTTCATTCAGATGCTTAGCTAGGTAGGCTTAGGCAAAGCAATTGCTTTTCTGCTCTATAAAATGGGGATACTAACACCTTCTTTTCTGTTTTGAGGGTTAAATGAGTTAATACATGCAAAGTGAGTGTTTTCTGAATGTTAAGGTCTTGTTGATATTATTTCAAAGTAATGGGGTCTCCTTCCCTCCAGCCTGGCTAGAGGGCAGCCCCCATGCACTGCTCGAAGGCAGGGATCCTTGTGAGTGGGGTACCAGCTCTTCCACACAGAGCAACTTCCTCCCCTTTGTGGCTTGTGAGATCACACTTGGGTCTCAGAAACAACTAACTGAGGAGACTCTGGAAGTCCCCAGCCACCTAGGGAAAGCTTGTTCTGTCTTTCTAATTCACCAACTTCTCACCGATGCTTTCTGCAACAGGTGAGGGGACACTGGCCACAGAAGGTGCAAGTCTGCCTTCCTCAGTGGGCCATGGAGTTCCACTGCGATTCTTGACTTCTCCCAGCTTTTTGCCCCTTCCAGCCTTGAAATGCTTCACTCACATGCCCAATAAATGGGATTGCCCACTAGGGAGGTGGAGGGGGCATGAAGAAAGTGTTCAGCTCACCCTCTGTGAGAGCCCAGACAGGTGGCTGCTGGGAAGGAGGAGCAGGGACCTATAAGGGTCAGGGGAAGGGCCCAGCACATGCTCCTGGGGTCCTGGGGCAGGCAGATTAACAGGTGAGGGGAAACAGAAGCTCTGTGGAGCCATCTTGGGGGAACTTTCTTACTGGAATGTTCCTCTGTGGTATATATGGCTGCTTGTGCTTGCAAGGAGGAGAGAGGGAGACAGCTCTTCCCTGTTTACTCCCACTCCCCAAAAAAGAGGTGGCCTATTTGGGACACTCTGGTGCTCCTTTTCCAGGACACAGTCCTTCTGCCCAGCTAACACTGCCGGAGTCTTGGGCTTAAAAATTACAGCAAAGCTCTCTCTCAGGCCCCTGATTCTCGAGCCCTGGTGGACCATCAGAATCTCCTGAAGTATTAAAACAAGATTCCTGGGTCTCGATTCAGTAGATCTGCAGTGAGAGCCGACATCTGTATTTTTAGTAAGCCCTCCACACTCCTCCCTCTCCAGCCCTTAGGTGACTGTGAAGATCAGCTGTGTGTGGGACCCCTGATCTCCCTACACCCCGCCTGCCTTGGGACAGACCCTCTCTATTAATAGAGAGGAATGAGCAGGGGAGCAGGAGAGGGGCCGCCCTTCAGTTTTCCCCTCCCCAACTGCTTAAGGAACTGCTGCCTTTTTTTTTTTTTCTCCTCTGCCACAGGACCTTTTGCCAACCTAAATGGTTGGAATAATTTCAGAACGGCTTTAAAGAAAAATATTTTTCTGGCTGCCTGCAGGAAAAAAAAATAAAAAAATGAACTGTCCCCAGAGCTGGGAATTAGGACCTTCAAGGATTGGGAACTGGGTCGCTTTCTTCTTTCTTTCCAAAAGCCAAGTGGTTTGGACCAGTGAGACAGAAATTGAAAGCTGCTGAGAAGACACTGTGCAGGTTGGAAAAAGCCGTTTTTCTCTCCCTCCTACCCAGTGAAGCCCTAAATAATGAAGAAACCCTTCCAGCTCCCGCTCTTGCTTATCTCCTCCCTATTCGGCCTGGACTTGGGATGCAAGATTTTCTTCTGGCTCTGCCATCTCAGTGGGAAAACGTACTTTATCTTTGCTCTTACAGCTAGGGAGGTGTGTGTGAGAGGGCGAGAGACAAGATGCAGGGAACATGTGTGCATGCATGTGTGTGTGTGTCTGCTGGTGTCTGGTGATGATGTGGTCTAGCTCTGCATGTCAGATGCAGAGGGCAGAGGTGAATGGACAGGATGTCTTCATTTTGTATGGTCGTGTGGGGTGATGGTAGTGAACGTGCAGCCTCCGTGTGATGTGTGTGACTTCCACAATGTGTGACAATACACAAAAGGTGCAAAGAAATGGGTTCTGGAGTCCAGTTTCTATGGAAACACCTGATCTGTAGAAACACTTTGTGCAGCGTGGCTCTCTGTGCTACAACAAACATCTGCAGCAGGAAAGCTTAACTTTTGCAGTAAGCAAATATAGGGGTACAGAGTGATGAAAAGAAAAGGAAGAGGCTATAGGAAAGAAGTTAGGAAGACTAAATTTGAACTCATTTGAGAGGAGAAAGAGGTGGGAGGAAGGAAGGAGTGAGAGGATAGAGACTAGATCAATAAATGGACAGAGCTGGAGGAAACTTACTGGATGAAAGATTCTTCCCAGTCTCCTGCCCATCTCCCAACTGGGCTTACCTGCACACACCTGCCTCTCCTCTCAGCTCTGAGTTTAGTCCTCCTCTTCCACCCCCTCCCTTCGGCGGAGCTGTGGCAGCAGAGAGCCAGCTAGAAGATCTGATCTCCCAGTGGTGTGTGCGTGCTTGTGTTTGCCTGACTTTTCTTCCACCAGATCCTATTGGGGTGGGGAGGTTAGCTTGGGGGGAGGGAGGGGCAGATCATAGGGAGGGAGGGGAGGAGAGGAGGGAGGAGGGAGGGAGGGGAGGGGAGGAGAGAGGGAGGGAGCTTGGGAAAGGAGGAATGACAATAAAGTCTTTATTTGGCAGCCAAAACTCCCAAAGACTTCATCCACACACCATTCCCACTAACAGACTCATTTTTAATAACATTTCCTTCTGCTGCTGCCGCTTCTGGAGAGGGGTTGTTTGACCCATGTTTGGAAAACAAGCCAAATTAACAGAGTGAAAAGGCATGAAAAGCAACCTCTGTGTAAGCCAGGACTGGATGGCTGGGTCCAGCACTAGCCTGTTTAATTCCTCCTAACAATCGCCTTGCCTTCTGGGGCCGTTGCTCGGTAGTGTTAAATTCCTAAACCAGTGAGGGGTTTGGGATGCTTCCTCTGAGCAGTGACAGTCTTTCCCTAAGTTATCTTCTCCAGGAGGTTGCAAAGGGAGTGGAGTCTCAGGCTGGCATAGGAGATAACTTCGGTTTGGCTGCCAGGGCTGTTCTGAGAACCAGAGAGGGAGAAGTCTGGCCTGAGTTGCACAGCAAAGTTAAGGCAGAATTAAGATTTAATGTAAGACCTAAAGTCACTGTTCCTAGCTCATGTGGACAATGTAGTGGCTTCTTTCAGCTTCTCCATATCACACTTAGGTGAGATTTAGGGGCTGTGTGGTCATCACACAAAGTGATGGGAAATCCAAATTTCCCCTGTGCACATCAACACCCCAGAAGACCCAGTCAAGTAACACCACTACCTCTAACAATCCTCTAACAATGCCCCTCAATTAAGAAAGCACAACACACTTGCAGGTAAGTAGATGCCCATCAAAATTTCCTGCCATGGCCAGGCACAGTGGCTCACGCCTGTAATCCCAGTACTGTGGGAGGCAGAGGCAGGCGGATCACCTGAGGTCAGGAGTTTGAGGCCAACCTGGCCAACATGGTGAAACCCTGTCTGTACTAAAAATACAAAAAAATTAGCTGGGTGTGGTGGCGGGCATCTGTAGTCCCAGCTACTAGGGAGGCTGAGGCAGGAGAATTGCTTGAACCTGGGAGGCAAAGCTTGCAGTGAGCCAAGATCGTGCCACTGCACTCCAGCCTGGGCAACAAGAGCGTGACTCTGTCTCAAAAAATAAATAAGTAAATAAAATAAATAAATTCCTGCCATCCCAGCTGACTACTTAGAAAATGCAACGCAATTTTCTTCTCCATTATTGGTTCCATGGAGAGCTGCAGAGCCCCATGACAGGGGACTGCCTGCCTGCCCTCCGCAATATGGGGTAGAGGAGAGAACATTAAAATTAGGGTCTGCAGCCCTGGGCTCAGCCACCCACAAGCTATGGTCTTAGGTGAATCACTTGATCATGAGGACCTTCAGTTTCCTCATTTACAAAATATGGATAATATTGACCTCACAGGGTTGGGAAGATTAAATATTGTAAATGTGAGAGCACTTTATAAACTGGGAAGATATTAGGGTTTAGGAAAGGGATTGCGATGAATGGTAATTAGCCTAAGAAAAGGAGAAGGAAAAATAAAACCCAGACCTTTCTCCAACCCCCTTCCACCCCAGATCTCATGGCTTCACGCCCTGCTGGTGAGGTCTTGCTGGAAGACAGCACGGTTCCTCTCCAGGTTCACATTAACTGTGGCTCTGCCAGGCTGCTCATGTGCTTCATTTCTCATCCAGATGGGATATGGCGTCTTCTGCAGGCCGGGAACATCAGACGCCAGATTTGCTTGTTTCCCTTGGTATGGTGGGTGGTAGATGATAGAGGGCAAAAAAGACTGGCTGGGCACGGAGACTCATGTCTGTAATCCCAGCACTATGGGAGACGAAGGCAGAAGATTAATGGAGCCCAGGAGTTCGAGACCAGCCTGGGCCATATGGGGGGACCCTGTTTGTACAAATAATTTAAAAATTAGCTGGGTGTGGTGGTGTGTACCTGAAGTCCCAGCTACTTAGGAGACTGAGGTGAGAGGATTATTTGAGGCCAGGAGACCAAGGCTGTAATGAGCTATGATTACGCCAGTGCCCTCCAGCCTGGGTCACAGAGCAAGACCCTGTCTCAAAAAATAATAAGGTGAGCAAAGTACAGTGAGGTACAGGGATGATGGGTAGAGTGTCTGTGGGGATAGACAGACTGGAAGGAGTGTGGAGTATGGGCAGGGGCAGGGGTGTCACCTGTATCCATTTGTATGACAGCCATCCAAATCCCAAGAGTCTATGCTCTCGGGAATGGATGGCCAACTTCCAAGCCCTGCCTAAGCCAGTTATCTCCCTTCCTCCCTCTCCTATCTCCCGCATCCCACGCTATGCAGAGAGAATTGGAAAGAAGTATAGACATGGCCAGCAGGATATTCAGGAGTGTCCAGAATAGAGTTTGCTAATCAGTGGCTTGTGGACCTAATATGGCTTGAGTACCTAATTTTTTTTGACAGCACGTTAATTTTTTAAAAGTTTTGTGGAAATTTTAAAACGTATACATATTTACACAGTATAGTATTAATATCCCCATTATCTAATACCTAGCTTCAACAATTACCGACTCATGGCCAATCTTGTTTCTTCTGTGTTCCCCACTCCCACAAACCCTACTGGTATATTTTGAAGCATTGGTTAAAAAAAAAAAAAAGGATTTGAACACCTTTAGTCAGGACAAGCACTTCCCAGTTCAACACAGTCGCCATCCTGGTAGACAGGGGTCCAGGTTCTTGGGACCTGGCTTTGCCCCATTGCATGCTGTGTGACCTTGAAGATGTCTCTCTCCCTCTCTGACCTCAGTTTGCCATTTATAAAACACGAGGTTGTACCAAATGACCTCTCAGTGCTCTTCCAACAATACTGTGAAGAGAGAGTATAAGGTTTGGGGTTAGGAAACCTGGATTAAGATGTCAACTCTGCTGTTCTCTAGCTACCTGGTGAGTAGGTCTCAGCACACGAGCCTTGGTTTTCTCATCTGCCCCATCTCCCTCCCAGGGTATACCCAAGATAACACAAGGATCATTGGCAGCAATGGCAGGGGAGTATTTTGTGATTCACTGGCTTCATGCACCCTGGGACTATGTGGATCCTCCAGGAAGAGCCTCCTCTACTCTCCTAGAGTCTCAGGGACACCAGTGGTGTGTCTTCAACCCAGGGGAGGTATTTATCTCTTGCTGGTGTAGCCAGAGAACAGTCACAGGCACATGATGTGAATGCTGGGGCATATGGTGAGAAGTCCAGATATGCACATTGTTGCTGCTACTGCTGCCTGGTCCTAGGAGAGGGCTAGGGGCAGCATGGTTAGGAGACAGAATGCAGGGAGGGCCAGGCAGCAGAGGGAGGGGGCTCTCCAAGTTGGTGGGTTTCAGCTGCATTTGCAGAGTTGGGACCTGCCCACACTTCCCATCCAGACCGAAATCCATCTGGGGGGCTTACCATTTCTTTGACCCTCACAGTAATTGCTGCCTTGGTTACAAGCAGTGAGTGCTTAAAGCAAGAGAAGAAAGGACACAATTGTGTAATACTCTTTCCATAGAAGTACAGGAGGGAGGTACTCAAGCTTCCCACCTCCCCCGTGGTGGTCCTGAGACTTTGCCGGGAAGGAGCAGTGTGGGCCCGAAGAGTTTGGCTCAAACTGCTCAGTGGTCATCAGGACCCACAGAGGCTGGCCCTGGACGGACCCTCACCCTGTACTAGTTGAGGCTCCCAGTCCAGGGTGGGTGGGGTCTGGGCAAATGCATAACGGGGGAGAAGCTGTGTGAGTCCTGTGGCAGCCTGTCCCACCCTCCAGCCTGGGGGGCCTGGGTTGCCTGGGGTGAGTGGGCCCCTGCTGGGCAGAGACAGCATCCTGTTCATCATGGTATAACCCACAGCACCCACCAACGGCTTGGCACACCCTGGGTGCTCAGTAGGGGTCTGTTTCATTGAATTTAAGAGGGTTGAACAAGGAGATTCTCTGTCACCCTCTTTTTTTAAAAAAAGGTTATTATTTTTTGAATAGGTAATACATTCTCTTGATTGAAAATCTAAGAGGTATAAGAGCTTGCATAGGGAAAAAGTCTTTTCCCTTGCCTATCCCCTCATCACTCACTTTCCCCCAGAGGACCGTGCGCCAGTTTCTTGTGTCCTCACAGATTTATTTAAGGTACACACTAGTAACAAATAAGCAGCTATGCACTTTTATTTTCACTTAGTGGTACAGGTATCTTTTGAAGATGATCATATTGGTCCTTTTGGTGATTCTTTCTCTGCCCCCACCCCCCAATATTTATTTAGTTGACAGTCTCTCTTGGTGAACATTTGGGCTCCTCTTTTTTTTTTTTTTTTTTTTTTTTGTGACAGAGTCTCCCTCTTGTCGCCAGGCTGGTGTGCAATGGTGCAATCTCGGCTCACTGCAATCTCTGTCTCCAGGGTTCAAGTGATTCTCCTGTCTCAGCCTCCCGAGTAGCTGGGATTACAGGTGCCCGCCACCAAACCCGGCTAATTTTTGTATTTTTAGTAGAGAAGGGGCTTCACCATGTTGACCAGGCTGGTCTTGGCCTCGAACTCCTGACCTCAGGTAATCTTCCTCCCTTGGCCTCCCAAAGTGCTGGGATTACAGGAGTGAGCCACCTCACCGGCCTGGGCTCCTCATTTTTTTTTTTTTTTTTTTTTTTTTGAGATGGAGTCTCACTCTGTCGCCCAGGCTAGAGTGCAGTGGCACAATCTTGGCTCACTTCGAGCTCCGCCTCCTGGATTCACGCCATTCTCCGGCTTAGCCTCCCAAGTAGCTGGGACTACAGGCGCCCGCCACCACGCCTGGCTAATTTTTTGTATTTTTTAGTAGAGACGGGGTTTCACCATGTTAGCCAGGATGGAGACCTCCTCATTTTTAAGGTAGGCAGTGCTGGAGTTGGAGTCTCACAAACTTGGTTGCAGGCCTGGCTCTGCCTCCTCTCCATGCTAACGGGGCGGCCTTGGGCTACGCAGCCCTTCCTGAGCCTCAGTTTTCTCCTTTTATGTCTCAGGTATTCAAGGCAGTCCATCAGCTCAGTAGTGACAGAAACACAACTTTATCCTATCATTTCACTTCTCTAATTTCTGGATCCAAGTGCTCATTTCACCAGGATCGTGAAATACTCCATCTCAGTCCTTGGTACCCGTGGGGGGCCACCCAGCAGCTTGAGGCAGGTTTATGCAGTGGCAGCTCCAACGGGGATGGAGGGTGTCTGTGGGGAGGGGACGTACATGGCTCCTGGCTGATGCTGCTGTGGGGCACACCCTCCATCCCACCAGGCCCCTTCTGGCCGAGCAGCCCTCTGACATTTCCTAGGCTACATGTAGGGGACAAGAACTTTCTGCAGGAACTTTCCTCTCTGGAAACATGCTGGCTGCCTGGCACTCTGCCAGGGGCAGGCTCCCCGATTCCCTCTCTCAGGGCTCTCATTCTCCTCCAGCTCAACTCCTTTTACATGCACATTAAAGCCAGGGGCCCTTTTATTTTCTGGGGAAAGAAGTTTCCATGTTCCCCTTTCTTCTGGCCAAGACACTGTGTCTATGCCCAGAAGCCCCCAAGAACCTAGGCTTATGGAAAATGAAGCCAAAGGCACATGCGGGCGGCTTCTGCTTCCTGCCTCCCCACAGATCTGATCTGCTTGTTTCGATGAGAGGAAGGGACAGGGCAAAGGCAGCGGAGGAAGAAATAAAACTTATCTGTCGACCACACAGTGAGCACAGCCGGACTGGAGAACCCCTAAATCCCTCTGTGCAAATTGTCCGTGATCCTGTTGAGGGGTTGTCAGCTTGTGGACCATCTGAGCAGTCCTACAGAGAGTCCTACAGAGAGAGGGCTGTTGACACCTGGTGGGAAAGAGGGTGCTGATACACGAATGCTATAGACATGGCTTTTAGGCCTAAGTGCAAAGGCTACACCGTCAGCTGGTGTTAGCAGACAGCACTAGCCTGGGGCTGCTCAGTAAGCACTGCTCTGGGCTTCCCTAGGTCTCCCAGAAGCCAGGCTCGAGTGAGTGGTGATGGCATTTTGCCTTCCAAGGTGAGGTCCTCCTAGGTTCTGGGATCTCCCAATCACATCATCCTGAAACCCAGCCTAATTTAATTTTATGTTGTAAAAGTCACAAGTCACAGCAAGTCACAAGCACCTGGATCGAATATCCAGGTTCCAGGTATCATCCTGAGCAAGCTTCCAAATGCCATCCTGCTCCACGTAATAGACTATTGGGTAATGACACTGCCTCATACAGGCACAGTCCCACTGCATCCTGCGACGATGGCCAGTCTGTGGACATGTGTGGTCAGTTATGCCACATATTACAAGGTCTAGGAGGGCAGGAGCAAGGCAGCCCTGCCAGGGACCCCCACACATGACCTTGGGGGTCCCCACATCCATTTGTGCACCAAGCAACGTCTCTAAATTGAATAACAGTAACAATAATAAAGCCTCTTGAGAATTATTATAGGCAAAGCACCCTTCTTAGCCCACCCTTCTTAGCTCAATGAGGCAGGGACTTCTATAATACTCATTTAACAGGTGAGAGACTGAGGCACAGACAGTTTACATTCCAAAGGTCACAAATCTAGTAATGGCAGAGATAAGATTTGAACCCAGGTCGTCTTCCTATGATGTTCTTGTTTGTGTGTATGTATACTGTTGTGATGAATAAAATGCAGATTATTTAAAATCATCTTTAAATTCATGTAGCTTTGTGTCATTATGTATTCATACAAGTCCAACTATCATCACATACTTCTTTTTTAAGTTGAAAAGAAATCTTTGCACTTAAAACTGTTAAGAACCACTGATCTAGGTTTCAGTTACTCCTTCTTAAAAGACAGAGTTGCTTTCAACTGTTCCCTTCACCCTGCTCCCCACGCCCTGGACTCTCCAAGTCCAGTCAGTTCTATTTCCTCGATGGCCTGACAGCTGGCCCCCTCTCTCCTGTCATGGCACTGTTTTCTTCTAGACCCTGGCCCACTGCTACGGTGTCCTGATGGGTCTCCCTGCCCTCCACCCTCCACCTGACTCTTCCTCAGGTCACCTTGCATGGTTCCCTGTCCCCATGACCATTGTTCTTGGCCCACAGCACATGTTAGATTCACCTAAGTGTTCCTGAAAGTGCCTGAGGCCCCAGCCCTAGAGATGCTGGTTCAAATACATGTGCGTTTTCCAGGCTGTCATCAAGAATGATTCTGATCTGTGCCCTTTGCTGATAATTAGACCTGTAGAATGCAGTCCAAGCTCCATGGTCTGTCTCCTGCTTACCTTTCCAGCCCTGTTTCTCAAAGTCTAGACTCCAAGCATGTGACTGTCTCACAGCAGCCAGAGTACTCCAAGAGATTTCACCTCTGCATGCCTTTGCCCACTGCTCCTTCCATGTAGAAAGCCCTTCTTCACTTATACCTGTAATCCCAGCACTTTGGGAGGCCGAGGCGGGTGGATCACGAGGTCAGGAGTTTGAGACCAGCGTGATCAACATAGTGAAACCCTGTCTCTACTAAAAATACAAAAATTAGCAGGGTGTGGTGGCATGTGCCTGTAGTCCCAGCTATTCGGGAGGCTGAGACGGGAGAATGGCTTGAACCCGGGAGGTGGAGGTTGCAGTGAGCTGAGACCACACCATTGCACTCCAGCCTGGGTGACACAGTAAGACTCCATCTCAAAAAAAAAAAAAAAAAAGAAAGAAAGAAATAAAGAAAAAAGAAAAAAAGAAAGCCCTTCACCCCCCCAGGTGTTACATCTTCTAGGATGCTCTCCCGACAGCACTCTCCTCTTTGACCCCTGGTCTCTCCGTTTGCTGCAGCAGTCCCCCAGTGGATGGCCCTCCCAGGAACCGTGCCACTTCCTCGCCCTTCTCTGCTCTCCTGTCTGCCTTATCCACAAGCTCCCATGGGCCTGTGCCAAACCGGATTCCTACTTGGAGTCCCAAGACCTACATGGTTCTAACACAGAGTAGGCGCTCAGGATCCTGCACTCTGGCCCCAGCAGGAATCGGGCAGTGAGCCGAGAAGCGCTAGAACACTTTCTCCTCTTAGCGTGTTTGTCTGAATAATTGCAAAATCCTCCTGTTTTTATTTTTTTCCTGAAGGCTTCTCATCTTCTAATCTGTTTTCCATGACCGAACAAGTGTGTTATTTCCTCAAACACAAACCTGATCATGTAATTCCCTTGCTTAAAATTTTGCAATGTCTCTCAGGTATTTATAGAATAAAATTCAAATGCCTTGGCATGACATTTGAGACCCTGCAGCCTGACCTGACTTTCTTGCCATTCTCATTTCCTTTCATAGTTCCTGTGGAACCAGAGAACCAGACTCATGGGATCCTGGTTCCCTGCGTTTTTTGTTTTGTTTTGTTTGTGAGACAGAGTCTCGTTCTGTCGCCAAGGCTGGATTGCAATGGCATGATCTTGGCTCACTGCAACCTCCACCTCCCAGGTTCAAGCGATTCTCGTGCCTCAACCTCCCAAGTAGCTGGGATTATAGGTGCGCACCACCATGCCTGGCTATTTTTTGTATTTTTAGTAGAGATGGGGTTACGCCATGTTGGCCAGGCTGGTCTCAAACTCCTGAACTCAGATGATCCACCCGCCTCGGCCTTCCTAAGTGCTGGGATTACAGGCATGAGTCACCGCACCCGGCTGGTTCCCTGAGTTTTTATGCCTCTATGCCTTTGCCCAGTCTGAGTTCAGCTGTCCTTCTTTCTCCTGTTCTCCATTTGGGGGAATTCCTATTCATCCTGCAAGGCCCAAATCAAATGTTACCTCCTGTGTGAGGCTCTCCTCGGTTCCCACGGGCAGAGTGAGCTCACTCTTGACTGTGCCTCCCTGGGCCACAGCTCTGCACAGCACTGTTACTTCTTGTTTCCACGTCTGCCTACTGTGTGATTGAAGGGTCTCCAAGGCAGAAACCCAGCTCCTGGCAAATAATTAAATAATAATGGTCAGGATAGCTAGCCCTTACAGAGTACTTACTATGTGCCATGCATGTGCTTTACAGGGCATTGGCTCATTTAATCCTCATAACAGCCTCAGGAGTAGGAGCTATTATTACCATCCCCACTTTACAGATGAGGAAGCTAAAGCAGAGTGTTATCATACAGTCAGTAAGTGTTAAGGTATTACAGTAAGGGTTGAAGCTGGGATTTGAACCCAGGCAGCCTGACTCTGGGATTCACGCTGTCTATGCGGTCCTGATAAATGCCCTTAGAATGAATGGTAATCTGCAGGCTCTGAGCTAGTGAGTGTGTGTTTATGTGTGTGTTAACAAGACATGATATGACTCTGTCCCTGCCCACATAAGCTCTGGTGTCAAACTGGGTTGGAAAGGTGTTCTCCTGAGGCCTGGTACAGACTGTGGCTTTCAATGAAATAACAGAATTGTCATCTCTTCCAGCAGGTGCTACCCACCCTCGCCCACTCCCCTCATTTCTCCCACAAGCTTCGGCCTCCTTTCTTTGTTATTTCTCCTTTATTTTGTTCTGCTTGGCCAGTCTGGAAAAATGACTGGTTGGCCTGCAGCTCGGGGAGTGGTGCTTGGTCTTCCTCTTGGCCTCTCCAGGCCCCTCCTTCTAACCCCCCGTGCACAGCCCTAGCCTTGTTCAGAGCCAAATCACAGGGTTCAGGGGCTGGGCCACGTGTCTGCCCACCCCGCTGCCTTCTGAGCCTGTGAGCCTCCCGACTCCTGCCCCACCACAAGCAAATGACCCAGCCAGAGGCAAAGACCAATACCAAGAACATGCTCAGTCCATGTACTCCCTCCCCAGCCTCCCAGGCTTGGAACTGCTACTGCAGGATGTCACCAGCCATGTTCCCTACCTGTCTACTGCCTGAGCCCTCCTAGGCTGGCATTCTTCCCTGGCAGGCAGCCCACCTGAGCAGACCCCTCTGTTCCTATGCTTACTCTGCCTTCCACTCGCACACACTCACTTATGGATTTTCCCTGAACCCCTACGCCCACGCTTTACAAAGCCTGGCTCTGCCTTTCTGTGGAATATGCCTCAGGCAGAGGGGCTGTGTATCCCTGGTCAGCCTGGCATTTCCCAAGAGTGCCAAGAGAAGGGAGTCTCCCAGCTGATGGTGTGGGAAAGTGGGGCCACGCTTGGCTTTATCCTTGTTCTCCCTCCCAGGTCGGTGCCCAGAGAGGGTAGCAGGGGCCTGGGGACTAGTCAAAGTGCTCCATGGAGCAAGGCATGCTTGCTTCTGCGCTAAAAGCTTACTCACAGCCTCAAATGAGCAATACGGAAGCAGACAGGATGATCTGAGGGCACCAGGACCCATAACGACTGTCTGACCCCAAAGGTACATAGTAAAGGATAAAGACTTTTTATGGCTGTGGCTCGTGAAATAGCACGATGGAGGATCCAGAGCACTGTCATGAGGTGTCCATGCCAAGAGACACTGTGTTTCCTTCTAGTGTTTATGCTGGCTTTGGCGTCATCAACAATGGATTTAGCCAAGAGAGCTCCAGGCCGAGGCTACGAGCTCGGGAAGTAATTTACTGGGTACAAATGCTGCCCCTTCCATCCAGTCACCTCTCTGCAGTGCATTGCAGCCACCCCAGCCATGCCTGGGGAGACCATCCTAGGTGCCCTTTCTTGGGAGGCACTCTGGGGTGGGACTAGCGTCCATGCAGCAGCAAGACCAGACCCTCCATGCCATGGCCTCCTCCCCACATGGTCCCTGGGAGCTGCCCCTTGCTAATCTCAGGGCCTCAGGGCCAGCTGTCCCATTCCAGGAGGCCATTCCTAAGACAGAGCAGGGCTCTGGGGCTGGAAACAGTTATGTGAGCAATGGAGCATCCCATCTTGGCCCACCCCAGGTGTGGGGAATTTTCAGGCCCAGTTGAGCCAAGCCACAGAATGAAGGCAAAAAGGCAAAACATGTTTTGGAAGGTGGCTGGCAGCCCCAACTGTCTGCTCCATGGGCCAGGGCTCCATGAAAGGCTGTGGAGTTACCGAAGTGGTGCGGGGCCTGGGGAAAGGCAGCCCAGGACAGTGATGGCTCTGCTTTCTTAGAGACCCTCAGAAATGAAGGCTCTCTACCCCACTGTGCCTCATTCCCCCAGTCATGGTCAGCCTAGCACTTCAAGCTAAAATGACCTTGTTGGGAAGTTCTTCCTTCCATCTACCTTGCCTCTCTCATGCTGGAATTCAGGCTTCTTTCTATTTAGATCCTTGTTGGAAGACAGAGAAGCCCTTTTCCATCTTGAGTGGAATTTGGATTTGAGGACAGCTTTGGGCTCCTTGGAGACAGGTGCTGGGTGAAGGGCAGGTGTTGTCCTTAGCACTATTATGCCATTAGCATTACTCATCTGCCGGGCTCCTGCTGAATGCAGTAGCTCTCCGGGCGGGCAGCCACCCTCCCTCCTGTTTTTTCTGGAGAGAGGGAAAAAAAGGGGAGGTGGGGAGGTGTGGGGAAGTGTGGGCAGAAGGAGGAAGGGAAAGACACAGAGAGATAAGGGGAGCCAGCGACCTCTAAGTCCAGGTTTCTGGTGGGCTCCCGTTGCTGTCTCTATTCACAGGGAGGGTGGGCCAAGGGGAATTTGGTTCCTGAGGCTGTTACACTCTGATTGCTGTGGACCTGAGACCGTTTCCCTCTCTCCTCCTTCCTCCCTCCTCCTCCTCCTTCCTCCCTCTCTGGCTCTTTCTCTTCTTTTCCTCTCCCTGCCTTTTCTTTCTCCCTCCTGTCTTCGTGCCTCCCACTTTTCTCCCATTCCTCCATCTGCCAACCCTTTCCTCCCCTCCGGCTGTGCACTCTAAGCTCCCTCCTTGCTCTCTGCTCCTTCTTCTTCTCTCCTCTGTCTTTGGGCTACTCTAGCGGCTGAGCTTAGGGAGGGGATATGAAATTCATTAGCTGCCACATTGCAGTGGGATTAAATCATTCTGGCAGCTTCTCCGACATCACTCTTCTCTCCATTAGGGCCCTCACAGAGCTACAGGCACCTCCTGGAGCCCTTCAGTCCTGCTCCCTGGTCTGGCCTTGACTCTACTCCAGTTCCTGTTGCCCAGAGCCAGGCCCCATCCCTCATCCGGAGCCCATGGTGGGTGGGCGTGGAGGTGGTTCAAAGCCTGCTCACTCCAGCTTCTCCTCTAGGGGTTTCCCTCCCAGGCTCTAAGCCCTGAATTGGGCGCTGATTTGACCAAGGGAAAGCACCCTTTTTCTTCTTTTCTCCCTTGGCTCCTGAGCCTATCTTCAGGTGCCCTGCTGCCCTCCTGTGGGGGCTTCTGTGCCAGCCCTGCCAGGTCCCTCCACCACCCATCTTTTTCCTCTCTGGTCACTCGGGCCTTTTGCGTGACAGCTTCTGCTCTCACAGAGTCCCCAAGCCACCCTCAGAGGAGTGATCTAAATTACTCAGGCTCCCCCTTTAGAATAAAAGCTCGATGAGGGCTTACAGTATATCCCAGCACCCTGCAGGCCTGGCATTCATTTGACAAACATTTACTGAGCACCTATTATGTGGGTGGCACTATAGTAAGCTCCGAGGGTATAGCTGGGAAGAAAACAGACATCATCCTTGTCCTCCTGAGGTGTTCGGTCCAGTGGAAAATACAGGAATAAACAAACACATAAATGAACATAAGCATATCACAACTGGTGGTGCTATGAAGCAGGGAAAGGACACGTAGTAAGTCCTTAAAGGAATGCATGAATCATGAATTAACTCCACATTTTTTTTTTTTTTTTTGAGACGGAGTCTTACTCTGTCACCCAGGCTGGAGTGAAGTGGCGCAATCTCGGCTCACTGCCACCTCTGCCTACTGATTTCAAGTGATTCTCCTGCTTCAGCCTCCCAAGTGGCTAGGACTATAGGCACATGCCACCACACCTGGCTAATTTTTTTATTTTAGTAGAGATGGGATTTCACCATGTTGGCCAGGCTGGTCTCAAACTCCTGGAATCTTGTGATCCACCTGCCTCGGCCTCCCAATATGCTGGGATTACAAGCGTGAACCACTGTACCCGGCCAACTCCACTTTTTTTTCTATTTCCTTTTCTACTTTGCTTCCAAGCCTGCAGGCTGGTCTGGTCTGTGCCACCTAAAAATATCTCTAATTATATCCTGTCCTAAATTATTCTCCCATTTGTTCCTCTTGTATTATTAGTTTTGTCTCACAATTAATAATACTAATACATTTCCATGCATTAAATGGCTATTATGTGCCAGGCAATATGTTAAGAATCTTAATGTATGGCCTTATTTTGATTTTTATTTCTACTTTAAAGGAAACTGAAACTCAGATTAAATAACCTGTCAAAAGCCACACAGCTAGCACCAGGAGAAGATCCATGTCTTATACTTCTTCACTGCTCCATGGGGCCAGGGGCCCCCAAGATCCCACAAGAGAAGCTGGAGAACCAGGCTGGTGGGGAGTGGGGGACCTGGAGACACAGCCGCTGCTAGTCCAGCAAGAGTGAGGTTGGCACCCTCCCTGCTCCATCAAGGATTCTCCCCTGGTGCCCTCATATACACTCTGGCACCCAAAAAAAAAACTCTGATCTCCAGGCCATGCCACCCACCTCCCAGTGCCCCCACCATCTTCACTTTCATGTTTCCCTGCCTTCCCTCCCTTGCATCAAGGTCTGCCCACAAAAGCAGCAGGAGCAAAGCATTCTGGCTCCTTCTCTTCTTGTAAGATGAGGCTTTCTTTTCTAAGAGGCTTCCCCGGGTTTATCCTATCCATCTTCAACTCGAGCTCCTCGGTTCCTCCAGACCCATTTCCATTTAGCCCTGGATCTATTCTGATAAACAACTCTACCCCACGTGCTACCTACTGACCCATCTTAATAACTATACACGCTCATTAACACTGCATTTATAAAAAGGGGCTTTCCCACCATCTATAATTAGACTCTGGGCTCCACAGGTGGCTGGGATGGTAAACACCACCTAGCCTTTACACTCCCCATCAGGGGTCCACTGCAGGGCCTCTTGCCACTGTATAATTCATTCTGTACCAGAAGCCAGAGTTCTTACTTTTTAAATCAATTTTTAAAAATTATAATTTGCATAGAGTAACAGGTTACAAATAGGTACCCATTTGAAGTATACAGCTTGACAAACTTTGACACATATGTGTATGTATATATACCCATGCAACCACCACCCCAATCAGATGTATTGAAAAATGTTTTAAATTGAGAAAAATTATATATATTTAGGTTATACAACATAATGTGTGTGTATACATAACATACATTATGTTGTATAACCTAAATATATACAGTTACACACATACACATTGTAGAATGGCTAAATTGAGCTAATTAATATATAAATTATCTCATGTACTTCTCATTTTTTGTGGTGAGCATAAAAAAATGTATTCTCTTAGCAATTTTCAGTACACAATATATTCCTGTTAACTACAGTCACCGTCATGTACAATAGATCTCTTAAACTTACTCTTCCTTTCTAACTGAAATTTTGTATCCTTCGACCAACATCTCCCCAACACTTCCACCCCCATCCAGCCCCTGGTCACTGCCATTCTGCTCTCTGCCTCTATGGTTTCAACTTTTTTAGATTCCACATATAAGTGAGGCCATATGGTGTTTGTTTTTATGTGCCTGTCTTGTTTCACTTAACATAATGTCTTCCAGGTTCATCCATGTTCATGCAAATGACAAGGTTTCCTTCTTTAATGCTAAATAATATTCCACTGTGTATGTACAGCACATTTGCTTTATCTGTTCGTCAATCAATAGATACTTAGGTTGATTCCACATTGGTTATTGTGAATAGTGCTGCAGTGTACATGGGAGTGCAGATATCTCTTCGATATACAGTAGCCCCTTCTTATCCAAAGTTCTGCTTTCTGTGGTTTCAGTTACACACCACCACCAATGGCCTGAAAATATTAAATGGAAAATTACAGAAATAGACAATTCTTTTTTTTTTTTTTTGAGATAGAGTCTCCCTCTGTTCCCCAGGCTGGAGTGCAGTGGCTGATCTCGGCTCACTGCAACCTCCGCCTCCTGGGTTTAAGTGATTCTCCTGCCTCAGCCTCCTGTGTAGCTGGGACTACAGGTGCCCACCACCACGCCAGGCTAATTTTTGTATTTTTAGTAGAGACAGGGTTTCACCATATTGGCCAGTCTGGTCTCGAACTCCTGACCTTGTGATCCGCCCGTCTCGGATCCCAAAGTGCTGGGATTACAGGTGTGAGCCACCGCGCCCGGCCGACAATTCATAAGTTTTAAATTGTGTACTGTTCTGAGTAACATGATGAAATCCTGCACTCTCCCGCTTCATCCTGCTGGCGATATGAATCCGCCCTTTGTCCAGCATACCCACACTGTAGACGTTACTTAGTAGCCATCTCAGTAATGAGATCAACTGTCTCAGTACAGCAGTGCCTGTGTCCAAGTCACCCTCATTTTACTTAATGATGGCCCCAGAGCACAAGAGTAGTGATGGTGACAATTCAAGTATGCCAAAGAGACACCACAGAGTGCTTCCTTGAAGTGAAAAGGTGAACGTTTTCAACTTAGTAAGAAAAGAAAAAATATTGTAGGCTGAAATTACTAAGAGCTATGATAAGAAGGAAGCTTCTATCTATGAAATTGTGAAGAAGGAAAAAGAAATTCATGCTAGTTTTGTTGTCACATCTCAAATCGCAGAAGTGACAGCCACAGTGCATGACAAGTACTTAATTAAGTACTTGTATCCCCATGGATAAGCGGGGGCCACTACACTGATTTCCTTTCCTATGGATATATATCAGTAGTGGATTGCTGGGTCACGTGGTTGTTCCATTTTTAAGTTTTTCTGAGGAATCTCCATGCTGCTTTCTGTAACGGTTGTACTAATTTACATTCCTAAGGGTTCCTTTTTTTCCACATCCTCACCAACTTTGGTTATCTCGTGTCTTTGTGTGTGTGTGTGTGTGTGTGTGTGTGTGTGTCTGTGTTTGATAACAGCCATTCTAATAGGTGTGAGGTGATATCTCCTTGTGGTTTTACTTTGCATTTCCCCGATGATTAGTGATGCTAAGCATTTTTTAAATATGCCGGTCAAATGTAAAATATATTCATCACCATGAAAAATTTCATGTCATGTCACTTGCGCCAACCCAAAACCTTTCAGTGGGATTCCCTAATTTCTAGTAATAGTGGATAAGGTTATTTGGACCAAGCCTACCACTGAAAACAAGTAAAACTGACAGATAAATTTTTTAAAAAATTTTTTGTTTAGAAACAAGAGCTAATAAGACTTAGCAAGAGAGAAACAACCAACCAGACAAAATTAAAGGGAAAAAAATGGAAACCTCAGAGATGGAAACTAAAGGTTTGCCCCGAGGGTATTTGCTGATCCCAGTAAATCTCAACTATTGTTTTGATGTCTACAAGGGAAAGAAGATAGAAATCAATGCTCAAGCTGGGCTGGCGTGGTGGTTCTCGCCTGTAATCCTGGCACTTTGGAAGGCCGAAGTGGGCAGATCACTTGAGTTCAGGAGTTCAAGACCAGCCCAGCCAACGTGGTAAAACCCCATCTCTACTAAAAATAAAATTAGTCAGGTGTGGTGGCAGGTGCCTGTAATCCCAGCTATTCAGGAGGCTGAGGTGGGAGGAGCGCTTGAATCCAGGGGGTGGAGGCTGCAGTGAGCTGAGACTGCGCCATTGCACTCCAGCTGGGCAACAGAGCGAGACTCTGTCTCAAAAAAAGAAGAAAGAGAGAAAGAAAGAAAGAAAGAAAGAAAGAAAGAAAGAAAGAAAGAAAGAGAGAAAGAGAGAAAGAAAGAAATCAAAACTCAGGGTTTGAAGAAAGTGGAGAGACATCCATCCCTTCCATAAGCAAGGACCACAAAGGACAACACCCTTGGAGTAAAGGTGAACCCAGATTATACCAGGCTGGCAACAGGAAGGCAGAATTCTCGTCACTGTGGTCCAAGGAAACTCAGTTCCTCGCACTTGATTTAAGGTGGTTTTAGATCAACGCTGGCCACAAGTGTTTGGCAAAGCAAAAAAAACAAAGCCAAAAAAAAAAAAAACCTTCTCTAGAAGAAAGTCACCCTCATTCCTTGGATTTCAAATTATTCCATCAAATTATTTTTCAAGTATGATGAGCAGGAAACAAACAAAAATAAGCAAACATACCAGAAATAGACACCTTGCATAAGAACCCACAGATACAACAGACAAGAGAAACTAAACTGTAAAAACGTTAGGTTTTATAATTATCAGACACAGTATAAAACAATTATGATTACTGTGCTTAGAGAAATAAAAGTCATGCTTGAAAATTTTATGGTAAATAAGAAATTATAACATTTGATTTAGATTTAGAAAAAGACCAAATCAAACTTCTAGAAATAACAAATTCGATTAATACAAATAAAAGCTCGAAAGATACAGCTAGAGGGAATTCAAACTAGAAGGCAGAAGAAATTATCCAAAATTTAGCACAGAGGGACAATAGAATGGAAATGATAAAAGAAACGTAAAGAGCCACAGAGGACAGAGTGAGAAGAACCAACATATGTTTAATTAGGGTCTCAGAAACACAAGAGAGAGTAATTGCCAGAGACAATGCGTAGACAGATAACAACTGAAAATGTTCCAGAACTGATGAAAGAAACAAATATCAAATTTAAGGAGACAAATTCATCTCCAAAAGGATAAACAGATATCCCCATCCAGACACATTATTATGAAACTTGCGTAAATCCAAACACAAAAAACAATATTAAAGATAAATTATCTTAAACAAAATTTTTTGTTTGTTTTTTGTTTGTTTGTTTGTTTGAGATGGAGTTTCGCTCTTGTTGCCCAGGCTGGAGTGCAATGGCGTGATCTCGGCTCACCGCAACCTCTGCCTCCCAGATTCAAGTGAGTCTCCTGCCTCAGCCTCCCAAGTAGCTGGGATTACAGGCATGTACCACCACGCCCGGCTAATTTTGTATTTTTAGTAGAGACGGAGTTTCGCCATGTTGGCCAGGCTGGTCTTGAACTCCCAACCTCAGCTGATCTGCCCACCTTGGCCTCTCAAAGTGCTGGGCTTACAGGCATGAGCCACTGCACCCGCCCTAAACAAATTTTTAATATGTTGAAGGAAAATAACTGCCCACCTAAAATTCTTTTCTCAGTGAAAATACATTTCAACAGTGAGAGTGAAGTACAGATGCTTTCAGATGATAAAAATAAAGTAGAAAAACAACAAACAAAAATGTGTTTGCTACCAGCTGATTTCCTCTAAAGGAAATTCTATTCTTCGAGCAGAAGGGAAATGATCTTGGATGGAAAGTCTGAGAGGCAAGAAAGAATGAAAAGCAATAAAGTGGCAAATGTGTGGGTAATCCAAATGACCATCCATTGTAGAAAACAGTAACAGTAATGTCTTGTGAAGTCTAAAGTTTAAAGATATAATGGATTTCTCAAACTTGTAATGTCCAAACTGAGATCTCTGATATTTTCCTCCAGACCTAGTCCCATTATATTCTTCCCCATCTAAATAAATGGCAACTTCATTTTATCAATTGCCCAAATCTTGGAGTCATCTTTGGTCTCTTTCTCTCATCTCTCACATCAGCAAATCCTGTTAGACCTACTCAGTGGTGTGCTGAAACTGGCCTATGTTGACTCCCAAGAGCCAACAGTTACAAGTTTTAGAAATCTCATAAGCTGATTGACATCCTGTTGGTAGCTTGAAATCAGCCATGATGGGAATATTTACATCACAGAAATCAGCCAACCCCCATTCCCAAGAGCCAGTTGTTAAACCTTTGCCAGCACACCACTGGGTTTAGCTACAAACTACGTCGAGATTCTGATCACTTCTCACTACCTTCACAGCCACCACCCTAGTCCCAGCACTATTGTTGCAATAGTCTCTCAAAGGGTTTCCCCGCTTCCTCTCTTGCTTCTCTTCATTTCAGTCTCAACACAGCAGCAAGAACAATCCTGTTACTCCAGTGGCTTCCAATCTCAGAGGAAAACCCAAGGCTCTGGGCCCTTTGGCTTCCCCGTCCCCACTCCTCTTACTTCTCTGACTGTTAATCCTATTACTCGCCCTTCATTCACCCAGACCCTCTCACTCCCTTCCTATTTCTCAACCAATCCAGCACTCCCCTTTGGGCCTCAGGGTCTTTGTATTAGGTTGGTTGCAAAAGTAATTGCAGCTTTTTGCCCTTGAAAGTAATGGCAAAACCCCACAATTACTTTTGCACCAAACTAGTACGCCCTACTCCCTCCTTCTGGGTGTTCTTCCTAAGATCCTTCAGGGCTTTATCACATTTCACCTTCTTAGCAAGGCTGCCTCTGGCCACCCTACCTGAAATTGCAATACTCACACAAAACTTCTTAACCCCCTTTCGGCTTTATTTTCTCCCTAGCAGTGATTATTAACACATTATAAATTTTATAAATGAATCTTTGTGTTATGTCCTCTAATTAGAATGACAGCTCCATGAGGCTGGGGCTTTGTCTGTTTCTGTTGAGTTATATCTCATATTACCAAAACCAACTCTGACATATAGGTGCTCAATAAATAATCTTATTGTGTTGACCCACCCCAGGGGCATTTGAATTTTTAAATTCAGTTGGGGTGGGGAAGGTTTTATCTGGGCTTTATTGGCATCGTGGAGGCAACGTAAGGCCCAAATCTGCAAACTGGCAGCCTGGAGCCCAGACCAGCCCAAAAATGTGTTTTGTTTAGCCCACTAGACATTTTAAAATAAATTAAATTAGTTGTCAACATTCAAGGATGGGAGATTTCTTATTTCAAAAATCCAGATTTCCAGCTTCTCTGGAAAAACCCAAAGTTCTCACAATCAAGAGGCTTTGTTCCCACCTGGCAACAATCAGCAGCCCAGAGCAGCGCCTGCCCTCTGGCCCCACCCTGCGCCCCACCAGCTCCCTTCCTGCATGCGGCTGGGGCCTGCCTGCTCTCCCTGGCTTAGGCCTGTGTCTGTCTAAATGGTGAGGTCAAGCAGCAAGACCTCTGAATTGAAGTCAGGACCTCTGAGTTTGGTTCCTCATCTGTAAATAGAGGTAATACCTACCCAGAGGGTGGTTATGAGACCTGATGAGGCATCTGTGAAGGGACTGTGTGAGCTGCAAAGCCCAGAACACCCTGAAGGGATCAAGCTCCACATCACGTCCATTCACATCAACACATAAGGGGCTGCTGATGTGTCTCTATACAGGCCAGCCCTGCCTGAGGACCCCACCCAAATAACCCATGCAGCCTCATTCTGCCTCTCAGATAACATCTGGCTCCCATGCAGACAGTGACCTGCTCACTCCTCTCTGTCCAAAGACCCCTGTCCAAGGACCCCTACCCAGCCCCCTTCCTGGCACGTCTGCTCTGCCACACTGTCTTAGTGGCAGAGCCATGGGATCTGTGCGTTCTCTCTAACAAGGCTCCACTGTCCTGGGCCAGGAGGCATGCCAGCAACGCCCTGCAGGTTGAGGCCAGAAGATAATCTACAGGATCCTGGGCAGGCGGGCCCTCAGAGGCAGATGAGGGCTGGGGCCCCTCCGCTCATGGTGCCCACCCGCACCGCCGCTGGAGCCGTGTGGCTCGCACTGGGCTCGCTGCCTGAGACCAGGCAAGCAGGGGTGTGGTGAGGTGGGTACCACTTCCCCGCCCTTGGTGGGTTTGGGGCAGGAACGCCGACCGTTATTGGGAGGCTTCAAGAATGTGTGGGGAGGCCACAGGAATGCCAGGGGAGGGGGAGATGGAGGGATGGCAGGGAGGCCAGCGTTCAGGGCTTCCACATGCCACGTCTGCAGGGCTCAGAATCTCAGCTTCAAGGAACCACGTGGTCACTTATTAGCTGTGTTGCCTAAGGCAAGTCACTTCATTTCTCTGAGCCTGGTTTTCTCTTCTGTGAAGACTCATTTATTTATTTATTTGAGAGTCTCGCTCTGTCGCCCAGGCTGGAGTGCAATGGTGTGATCTCGGCTCACTGCAACCTCCGTCTCCCGGGTTCAAGCTATTCTCCTGCCTCAGCCTCCTGAGTAGCTGGGATTACAGGCACATGCCACCACACCCAGCTAATTTTGTATTTTTAATAGAGACAGGGTTTCACCATGTTGGCCAGGCTGGTCTCGAATTCATGACCTTGTGATCCGCCTGCCTGGGCCTCCCAAAGTGCTGGGATTACAGGCGTGAGCCACCGCACCTGGCCTGAGTTATTTTTACCTACTCCCCAGTGTCGTGAGAATCCAATGAGATTCTGTGAGACTCAAATGAATTTAATTAATAAGAGTGCCTGCTATGTGGCAGGCACTGTTCCAAGCACTACACGTGCATGAACTCATTCACTCCTTACACAGGCCCTCTGAGGTATAGGCTGTTATTATCCCCATTTTACAGATGAGGACACTGAGGCACAGAAAGGTCAAGGAATTTGCTTAGGAAGTTATAGTTTGTAAGTGGCAGAGCTGGGGTTTGAATCCAGTAAGTGTAGGTGCAGAGGTCAGGGCCCCTGCCGAGCTCTTTCAATGTTTTTTCTCTGGAAAACATTGCTGAGATAACCCTAACATCTACATAAAAATGTAAGGGTAGGGGCCGCACAGTGTCTCAAACCTGTAATCCCAGCACTTTGGGAGGCTGAGGTGGGCGGATCACCTGAGCTTGAGATCAGCCAAGCCAACGTAGGGAAACCCCGTCTCTACTAAAAATACAAAAATTAGTCGGGTGTGGTGGCAGGTGCCTGTAATCCCAGCTACTCAGGAAGCTGAGGCAGGAGAATTGCTTGAACCTGGGAGGTGGAGGGTGCAGTGTGCCAAGATCATGTCACTACACTCCAGCCTGGGCGACAGAGTGCGACTCCATCTCAGAAAAAAAAAAAAAAAAAAGTAAGGGCAAAGTATTCACACAGATGGTGGGAGATTATTTCACTGGGTTTTAACTCACCAGCAAGTGGAACAGTCACGATGTCCTAAATCTCTTGAGCCCAGTGGGGTGCCTGCTCCTGCGGGGAGTCTGGGATAGATGAGGCTCACAGCTCCCTGGGGAAGCTGGGACTCACAGACCAGGAAGAGAGAAGGAAGCTGGAAGGGAAAGCCTGCTGTGTGTGGATGTCTGAGAGCCGTGGGAAGCTCAGAGAGGAGACACAGTAGGCAATTTCTGGAAAGTCTTCTGGAGGAGGTGGTCCCTGAAAAAGAGAGTGAGGGTGGGAGTGCCTCAGGGGCCGTGGTTGTGGTATGGTTTGGGATCCTTCCTACTGATCTTTATCACTGTTTCCTGAACCCCACTTGTCCTTCCAACAAACATCTGGCTGGGAGTGGTCCCACCATTAATTTCATTAAATCTATTAATTCCATTAAATGGACAGAGGTAAGGGGCAGTGGTCTCTTTCAGCTTAGGGGTAATTGTGAATGGGCATGATCACCTGCCTCCTATGCTTCATAACAACAACCTGGTTATTTAAAGTGCTCTCCTGATCACTTTCGTCCCAAGAGAGCAGATAATAGCTGGAGGCTGCATCCTGGGGCTGGTGGCCAGGAGGAGGAGGAGGCAGGAAACAAGAATGTCATCTTCCCTCCCTGCTGGCCCTCTCCACTTCTGTCCTATACCATTCTTTCCCCCATTTTGGGCAAGGAGCCAGCTCAGGCTAGACTGTCCCGGGTCTTCCTGGGTGGGTTTCTCGTAGTGCCCGTCTGGTTCTGGCACCGCTTGAGAAGGTCTCTCTGGATACAGTCAGAGAAGAATGAGACACTTCTCAGCCCTGTGCTCTGAGGGTGTAGAGTCTGAGCTGAATGCCTCTGCTGCTGCCTTGGTCTGTCCTCCATTCGTTTGTCTTCACACTCACCATGCAAGGTCCTAAGGTAGGGACGGAGTCCTGTGCATGTCTCTCTCTTATGTCCCAAAGAGCCAGTAAGGTCCTGGGCATATGAAACACTGTCACTCAAACCTACTGTATTAGTTAGGATATAAGTTCATGTGCTGTGACAGAAACCACAAATACAAATACTTTAAGCAAAGCAGAAGTTTATTTGTTGCTGGTATAAAAAGCATGGGAAAGCATGACAGTTGGCTTCATAGAGTCAGCAGGTGCTAAGGTGCTTTCTACCTCATCCTCCCCTCTTTTCTAGCTGACTCTTTGTTTGCATGGCCCAAGAGGGCACATCCTCATACCAACTTTCCAGCTGGCAGGAAGGGAAGGGTTGTTAGAAGTAGCAAAGACCACCACTGTATATATCCTGTTGGCCACTTACTCCAATGTCCACACCTAGCCCCAAGATAGGCTGGGAAATGTAGTTTTTATTCTGAGAAGGCAGGAGAAGGCATATTTTAGGACACAGCTAGTAACCTATGTTACACTCACTCACTGAAAAATCTGAATATATGCAAAAAATAAAGTCATGTTATGAAATGAATCCAGTTCAGATTTTGCTAAAACAATCAGCTCTCTAGTAAGTATGGTTCCCTTATTCATTTGTTTATCAAACATTTCCTCATCTATAAATGGGACTGGTAGTACACCTCCTGGGGAATTGTGAGGATACTGAACACATAAATACACATAAATCTCCCAGGACAGAGCCTGCCACATATAAAACGCTGCATCAGGGTTCACTCATAGTATTATTCCTTGGCATTGTCCTGAGTGCCATAAGGATTAGAGGGTTGACTGAGACAAGATCCCTGCTCTCAAGGAGTTCATCATCTATTGCATCAAAGAAAAATGAACACAAAGAACGTCTCTACAACTGTAGTTCTCTGTGCAGGGTGTGCCTCAGTGTCCCCTGGGGCTTCACTCCCTCACAGTTTTGATTAACTAGGGTGGAGGCAGGGCTGGAACATCTGCATTTCATTAAAATCTACAAGAGGCTGCCCTATAGTATGATGGGTGGCATATTAATGTGAGAGCCCTAGGGAGAGGCTAATCTACTCCACCTGGGTCAGCCAGGGCCAGGGTAGGCTTCCCAGAGGAGGTGATGCCTGAAGGTTTCATGCAAAGTGGGTGGGCATCACCTTTTAGGCAGAAGGATCAGCATGCATTAAATCAGTGTCATTTTCTGGAAACTGCAGGAGGCAGTCAGTGTCCATGGAGCATAGGTTCATGAGGGGCGGGGGTGGAAGGACAGGGAAAAGACTGCCAGAAGTTACAAAACAGAGAAATACACAGGGACTTGACTCTAGCTCAGTGGTCATTTTGTTTCTCAGACAGGATCTGACAAAGCTACCATCCCTGTCTGCAGGAAGAAAACGAATATACACACAAGATCTCACATGCAATTTCAGGAGGTTCATAGACACTGCCCCACTCCAAGCCCATCCACTGACAGTGAAACCACTGTCAAGTGTGACACACTGAGATATGGACTACAAGGAGAACCTGGTTAAGGGGGATATTAGCGAGTTCACTTTTGGACAGTTGAATTTGAGGTGTTTCAAAAAAAAATTTTTTTTTTGAGACAGAGTTTCGCCCTTGTCACCCAGGCTAGAGTGCAATGGTGCTATCTCATCTCACTGCAACCTCCGCCTCCTAGGTTCAAGTGATTCTCCTGCCTCAGTCTCCCAATAGCTGGGATTACAGGTATGCGCCACCATGCCTGGCTAATTTTTTTGTATTATTAGTAGAGACAGGGTTTTGCCATGTTGGCCAGGCTGGTTTTGAACTCCTGACCTCAGGTGATCCACCCGCCTTGGCCTCCCAAAGTGCTGGGATTACAGGTGTGAGCTACCGTGCCCGCCCGAGGTGTTTCAAATTTGACATCCAAGTGGAAATGTCTAGCAGGCAGGTGGGTGTACCGGTGTGGAGTTTAGGTGAAAAGGGTAGGCTGGAGACAGAGATCTGGCTCATCTGTAGGCTGGTGGTAGCTGAAGTCATGGGAGTTGCTGGGACGACCTAGAGGTGGCGGTGGTGTGTGGGGTGAGAAGAGCAAAAGACAGTCAGGCTTGATCGGGACTCAAACACACGGGACTTACCTTGGCTACTTTAAGAACTCCTCACCAGGTAAAGCAAACCCTGATTAATAAACTACTTCAGAGTAGGAAAGTCAGGCATGCTGCGCGTGGGGGCAGGGGATGACATGAGCAAGGACAAAATGAGGGAGGGGTGAAAGGCGTCATTGTCACTGCTTCAAGTTCAGGTATAATCGGCTTGTGCGATCATTTGAGAGTCCTTGAAGCAGATAGGATTCCACAGCTCTCTGGCTGAGTGGCCAGCTCCTCTGGCAGGACGGGGGAGCCCAGGAACACTTCCATTGTCCCTCAAGAGAAGGAAGTTCAGGCACGCTCCTCCTTCCTCTGGAGGGGGTTTCTGAGAAATCCCTGTTCCGGTCAGCATGGCAGGACCCGGTGACATACCCCTTGCCATGATGCATCCCACATGGGAGTGACAGTGGCAGGGCTCAGAGCCCTCCCACCTCTCCCCACTTGTACTTTTTCATGTTTCTTTATGAAAAGCCTTACCAGAGGATGCAAGCTAAAACATGTTTAGCTAGAGATTTAATAGAGGATCACCTTTTAAAGAATAAAATTATTCCTTTTGGGGACTGTTATAGAAAGTACTGGACATGTGTTCACCATATTAAAAGGCTGTGAGTCTTTAGGAGGGGCAGGAAATTTTTCTGAAGTGCTAACTTACATTCCTCCCCAGAATTCCCTCCCCCTCTTTTGCCCATGCTTCCCAAAGCCTCCAGACAGGGTTGTATTAGCAGAGAAAAAATCACTGCACCCAGCTTTCATTCCCTTGACTAGATAACATAGATTAGGTAAAAGATTTGGGAGGGGAATATCGTAAGGCCCCTACCCCATGCATGATTGACATCTCCTAAAACTCAGGTGTACAGGATGAAGGAGAACAAGAGAATACAGAAATTGGTGAGTTTTAGAGAAGTGGGCCCTGCACCCATTTCTTCATTCATGGACCAAACTTAGCCCCAGAGAGGGACTAAATACCAGGAGATAAGAGGGATCCAAGAACAGTGGGGTCTGTGCCTTCTGTATCTGGACAGACCCATGGAGCAACAAGCTCTGAGAAGTGCTTCGTGTTCCTAGGCAGGTAATACACTATTGGGAGGAAATAGATGATTTCCTCATATATAATCTGTTTGTTCCAGCATGTGGTGAAGCTCCAGAGTCTTTGCTGAGTAGCAGAGAAGTAACAGGGAAAGACACCAACCTGAAGGGACCACGGGGCAGGGACAAGGGGCATCTTTTCCTATCTGACAAGCCCACCAGCCAGGACGAGGCAGACTGATGGAGGTCTCAGAGGATGCCTCTGTAATAGGTGACAATGAGTTCCCGGACCTGGACCCATCCCACCCTATAAATTAGACACAACCCTGGGGAAAAGGAGGTTGATTCCTGAGTTAACCAAGACAAAGATTCTGCCAGCCTAAAAGACTGAAAAGTCAAAATAAAAATCTAATTTCTATGTTTTTCACTTTTTCTTTGATTTTTGTTTTTTTTCTTTTTTGTGTGTTATGTTAGTTTTCCAGTCTGAATATGTTCATAAAAATTTAATTTCTTAAAGAAAATAAAGGAAAGCCACATTTCTTGCACACATAAATTGTGAACAAAAATCCATACATTTAATATAATATATATGTATAGATGAACTGGCCTTAAAAAAAACTGGGACTTTAGGAATATATATAACACAAGTGGTCATTGTACGACAAACCTGAGTCTTTAGGTGTCTTTAAAAAGAAGGGAAAAAAAAATCCAAGTCCACTCCCTTAAAAGACAAACAAACCAACAAACAAACCAGGAGAAAGAAAGTCATTGTAGTGTCAGTAGTCATTTTCTAAACATTTCACTGAAAAAAAAAAATCCCTTGAATCTAGCCATTCATTCATCTCAGGCAAATATGGAAAAATCGGCAGAATGAGCAATGAAAAAAGAAGTTACCAGAACAGGGGCTGGGGATGGAAAATATTTTGCAATTCTGTAGTTGTTGCCGCTTCTGTTGGTGTAATGGGTCATGAATGCAGCGCGTTCTGGTGCCTCCTGGTAAGGGGAGCCCAGCAGAGACTCCAGACACAGGCTCCCTTGACCTTTGTGTATTTAGTGCCCTGCCGCCTTGATGTCTGGAACAGCCGCCTCACCCCAGCGAGTCCTGTCCCTCCACCCCCTGCATCCTCCCTAATTTGTGAGGTGGAGCCATGGAACCTTCTGCCATCAGGGGCCTCCCACTGGGACAGGCTGTGCAGATTTAGAAAATATGCTTGCTGGGGAAGAGCGGGGCCCTGGCTGTTTGTTCACTGTCTCGACACTCAGAAAGGAAAAGAGGGCTTTGGCTGCAGGAGGGAACATTACCAGATCATCTGGACCATAAAACACTGGCTCACGTCCCCAGGGGAAATTGGGGACTTCCCTAATCCTCAAGTGGAGAGGGTCTCCTCTTCCAGCAGGAGACAGGCTAGTGCAAAAGAATGGACAGAACAGAGAGGATGACTACCCATCTCCAGTCTCAGGGTTTCTTGTCAAATTCAGGAATATTTCTGAACTCATTAGCCTATCACCTCTGACCTTGGGGGAGTGGAGAATAGAAACACCTTGGGTCTGGGCATTCATTCCTGTCTCCCTTTCTCCCCAGATTTTTGTCTTTTAGATAAAGAAACAGAGAAAGAGCCAGCTGTGTAATGATCAGACCTAATCAAGCAATGACACAGACTCTTTTGTTTTATTTTATTTTTCTTTTTTAAGAGAGGGGCTCCCTCTGTCACCTAGGCTGGAGTACAGTGGTGTGATCACAGCTCACTGCAGCCTTAACCCCCTGGGCTCAAATAATTCTCCCTCCTCAGTCTCCTGAGTAGCTGGGACTACAGGTGCACACTACCATACCTGGCTAATTTTTCTTTTCTTTTTTTTTTTGTAGAGACAGGGTCTCACCATGTTGCCCAGGCTGGTCTCAAACTCCTGGGCTCAAGCAATCCTCCTGCCTCAGCCTCCCAAAGTGCTGGGATTATAGCTGTGAGCCACCGCACCCAGTCAGGCAATGAGAGTTTAAATAACAATGTGTAACATTTTCCAGCAATTACTATATGCCAGGCCCTTGATGTGGTGTAGTCTGTCTTCTATAATTCCCTTAACAGCCTTATGAGGTAGGGACTATTATTAGTTTCATTTTTCAGAAGAAAAAGCCAAGGCACACAGAGGCTAAGTAACTCAACTAAGGTTGTATAGCTGTTAAAAAGTAGGCTGGGATTTAGACCCAGGAGCATCTGACTCCAGAGCCCACATGTTAACTCCTACACTCCACTATTTCCTAGAGAGAATGCAAAGAGATGCTTAACATAGAGAAAGCTAGGGAGATAACGGGAGTAGTCTGTGAAATGAGAGGAGGAAGAAAATATATTTTAAAATTGTAGATGGTATCTTTAGGAAAAGGTAGAAAATTCCATTGTTAAAAATGGAGATGCTGTTCCTATGTTTGGCAAATACAGACATGGAGGTCATGGCTGCAAAAAGCTGGTGGAAAAGGGAAGTTGGAGTAAGTGAGTTGGAAGGTTGGGACTGCACCAACAACTTCCTCTAAATTAAAGAAGGGAGCTTGCTTCCTTCTCCGTGTCCCAGCCCAAATCCAATTCTAGACTAATTCACAGACCTTCTGATGAACCATACTCTCCACCCTGTCTAACCCCACCAAACTTCAGACTGAACCCACCAGCTTCCAGGAAAACAGCAGGGTGGACAGAGCCCTGAATCACAGTTCCAAGGGAAGATGCCAAGGCTACCCTGTTTCCAGAAGCCAGTGGAAGGAATGATACAGAAAGGAGGAGAGCCAACCTATTACCCGGCTATTCCACCAGGGTGATAGCCTGGCTCTCTGTCTAGTCCATCTGTGGACACCCATTCAAAGTTTTGCTCTTCAGATCTCCCTGAGGAGTCTGAAGGGACCGAGGGGTTCAGTGACTCTCCAGCAGGTAGAAATTTTGGTGAAAGATTGAGCAAGGATAACTAGCTGCTTAGGAGACAGACCTGGCTTAAAATAGGGCTGACTTCTCCAATTGTCCTGTCCTTTGTGCAGCAGTTTAGTCAAAGAAATCTGCCAACAGGATACCCAGAGGACACGGGGTAGTGAGGATCTTCTCAGAGACAGTGGAGACAGCAGAAAAAACAATGGAGCAGGAGTCAGGAAAGCAAACTGCCCCCAGGCCCCAGGCCTGCTTACTGCCAGTGGAACCTTAGGTAATCTAACTTAGCTAGGGTTATTGAAACAGAATATCATAGCCCTGGTGGCTTAAACAACAGTCATTTATTTTCTCACAGTTCTGGAGACTGGAAGTCCAAGATCAGGATCCAGCATAGTGGAGTTCTGGTGAGGACTCTCTTCCTGGCTTGCAGACAGCTGCCTTCTCACTTATTTCTCTCTTTTCCTCTTCTTATAAGATCACTGATACCATCAGATTAGGACCCTACCCTTATAACCTCATTTAACCTTCATTGTCTCCTAAAAGCCCCATTTCCAAATACAGCCACATTGGGAGTTAGGGATTCAACACATGAATTTGAGGGGAGGAGGGGCACAATTCAGTCCATAGCACTCTCTTTCTGAGCCTAAGTTTTCTCATTTTCATAGTGTCTTGTTCTCAACACCATTCACTTAAGGGGCATTGCCTGTCCTCTTTCATACCAGTTGTTTTGCTCTAGTGTGAAGATAATCTAACTTTTCACTTTCAGGGTTCTTTTACCCAAGCTGTTCACTAGAGACTCCTAATTATCCTATGAGAGGGGAAAATAATGTATTAACATACTGTGCCAGCTAAGTGCTGCTGCATAAGAAACCACCCCAAAAGTTAGTAGCTTAAAACAACAAACCATTTTATTACATCTTGAGATGTTGTGGGTCAGAAATTCTGGCAGGGCTTGGCTTGATGGTTCTTCT
This sequence comes from Homo sapiens, assembly GCF_000001405.40. Taxonomy (NCBI): domain Eukaryota; kingdom Metazoa; phylum Chordata; class Mammalia; order Primates; family Hominidae; genus Homo; species Homo sapiens. The sequence continues at coordinate 203,445,964 of NC_000001.11, read as the reverse complement.
GTTCTGTGTGTTTTTTCCTGAGGTCACTTCAGTGTTCAGCTGGTGATGGGCTGATCAGGAGGGTTCAAGACAGCCTCGCCCACATGTCTGGCACCTTGGCAGGCCGGCTGGGAGGCTGGGCTCAGCAGAGACTGCTGACCAGAGTGCACACTCCAGCATGGCAGTCTCAGGGTAGTCAGGCTTCTTACAGAGAGGACCAGGGCTCTCAGAGAGTGTTTAGAGCCACCTGGAAGGAAGCTGCAAGCTTTCTTGTTACACAACTTGAAAGTTCCAGAATATCACAACTGCCATATTCCATTGGTTAAGCAAGCCACTAAAGCCAACCCAGATCTCAAAAGAAGGAATAGCAAAGATTTTGGGCCCTCTTGAATTTACCACATATCCCCATTTTCTAGAAGGAATAAGTGGGGCCCACAGTGCTCACCGACAGCTTCTCAGTCACAGGGTCCTTAGATACTACATTCATTTCTGATGGCTCCTGTAACATATTACCACAAACTTAGTGGCTTAAAACAACACACATGTATTCTCTTATACTTCTGGAGGTCAGAAGTCCAAAATATGCCTTAAAGGAGGAAATAAAGAGCTGAGTTTCTTCTGGAGGCTCTAGGGTAGAAGCTGTTTCCTGGTCTTTTCCAGCTTTTAGAGGCTACCTGCATTCCTTGGCTTGTGGCCCCATCCTCCGTCTTCACTCCAACCTCTGCTTCCGTCATCACACCGCTTCTCTGACTTTGGCCCTCTTGCCTTCTTCTTGTAAAGGCCATTGCAATTACACTGGGCTCACCTGGATAATCCAGGATAATCTCTCCACCTCAGGATCTTTCATCACATCTATAACGTCTCCTTTGCTGTGTTAGATAACATGTCTACAGGGTTGGGGGATTAGAATGTAGGCATCTTTGTGGGGCAGGGTGGGGATGGGGGTGCATTATTCTATCCACCACAGATACTGAGCCAGAACTAAAACACAGGTCCCTGGCTCCCAGTTCATGAGGTGCTTCTCCTGTTAGCATGAAGAAAGGGCTATATCAGGTAGTGATCACCTCAAAGCACAGCACAACTGACCAACCCCCAAACTCAGGGGCTTGAAACCATAAGTGTTTATTTGGACACAAACCTACAGGTTGCTGGGTGGTTCTTTTCATCTCCCCTGGCCTTGCTCACATGTTTGTGGATCAGCTGGGATAATAGGTAAGTCAGGTAACCCGGACTTATTTTGCATGGCCAGGTAGATGTGCAGGAGCCCAGGGAGAAAAATGCAAGCACTTTTTAAGGCCTCTGCCTAACTCACATCTGTTGATGTTCCACTGGTCAAGGCAAATCAAGTTGTTGGCCAGTGTCAGGTAGGAAGGCATTATAAAATTTCATGGCAAAGGGTATAAATACAGAGCAAAGAATTGGAACCCTGAATTATTTTCCTATCTCAGGCCCTCTGTGATATGGCAGTTTCATCGCCAGGTGTCAGTAAATACTAAGTTGACCAAAGAGCATTTGTTATGGGCTCAAAAGTGTCAGAGACCTTGAGGCACTCTGTATTTTCCAAAGATGGTCACACCTACAAATTTATCCCAAGCCATCTGCTCTTCTTGTAACTGATAGTCTTCCCACCAAGAGGCAGGGTTTACATTCTCTTAGGTCATAAAAAAGGGCTCAGCTTCTGGCTGGCTCTCTGTCTCCAGATGCTCACCTTTGGAACCCAGCCACTATGTTGCAAGGAGGCCCATGCCACATGGAGAGATACACTTGAAGAGGAACCAAAGCCTTCTCCCAACAGCCAGTGCCAACTTGCCAGCCATGTGAGTAGGCAGCCTTGGAAGTGGATCCTCCAGCCCCAGTCAAACTTTTAGACACTGCAGTTTTGGCTGACATTTTGACTACATCTTCGTTTGAATGCCCAAGCCAGAACCACCCAGCCAAGCCACTCTGATTCCTGATCCATAGAAACAATGTGAGACAGTCCATGATTATTGTTGTTTTAAGTCATTAATATTCAAGGTAATTGTTATGTAGCTTCAGCTAATATAGACCTATTCCTGAGGCTTAGGACAAAATGAGAATAGACCCAGTTTGGGGGCTCCAGGAACCTAGAGTCTCTAGGTGACCAAGCAGACATTAACACAATCAACAGCATACGGTAAGTATTTAATCCAGTCAGAATACACTAGCAAGAAGGGTCGGTCAGGGATATGCTGACCATATCTTTCCAACTCAGAATCGGGACAATTGACTAATAGTAGACCATTGTAGCTTGGAATTGGGACAAAATATTTGAATCAGGGCTGACTACAATAGTATATAAGATATATGGTCACTTTGTCCAAAAATTGTTCTGCCCAGTTGGGGCTTTGAGTGATCTGGAAGAGCTCCCTGGAGTGACAGCAATTATGATGGGGAAACAACATGACTATCTGAGGGTTTCTGGCCATTTCCCTCTTTCCTGCCTAGGAAAGAGGATACTCAGTCATCGTTTCCTTTCCTCTCTCCAGGGAGGGTCTTGCCTAGCCAGGTTGTATATGCAGGGCTTTTGTGTTGCAGAATCAGGAGGAAAAGGGAGAAAAGAAGGAGAAAGCGTGTGTGGTTAGAGCTGGAAAAGGAGTTTGGGAGGTGGGAGTTTTGGAAAGGAGAGGTGCCAGATCAGATCTGATATGTACAGAAATAAATGGGAGAGAAAAATTAGGACCTTGAGAAGTACTGTTCTGGCCTACCCCATCCTCTTCATTGCATCAGAGAAGGTGTACCAATAACTTGAGTTTTTCTGAAATATTTTTTGGTTGCTGGACTGAGTTTATTTGGTGACAACCACTTTGAGACTGGACCATGTGGGTGATGGGGCTCTAAGTGTCTCTGCAATGAGTAGCAGAGAGGAATGGGGTGTGGTGGGTGGCTCTGGGCATATGAGACAGTCGGTCAGTGGCTATGAGGGGAAGAGGATGGAAGCCAAGGAACTGTTCATTTGTTCCAGAATTGGAAGTCAGCGTGACTTATGACCTGCAGAATTTGGGCTGTCCCGGGCCCAGCTGCGTCCAGATGAGTGCAAGGAGCTCAAAGGCTCGGGGCTTTTAGAAGCCTTGTTTGTGGCATCACTGCCCACTCTAGTGTAGCCCCGGGACGGGAGGGGCTTGTCAAGAGCTTGACCTTCCCCTTCTCAAAACAGAGGGATCTGGGGCTGGAGGGAGAAGAGGTTTGCTGGGCCTGATAGTGGACGCAGAAGTACAGAAGTAAAGACAGGAAGGAAAAAACAACTGATAGAGAGGGGCGCGTAAAGAGCTGCTTCGGGTTCCTGAAATATTCCAAGGGATTGTGAGTTCCCCAAGAGCACGGACTGGCCCTTATTCATGTTTGTTCTTCAGACTTTACATCATGCCTGACATGTAATTGCTCCATAAATAATTTAGAGGGAGAGAAGAAGGGAGGCAGGGAAGGAAGGTGGGAGAGAGGAATAGAAGGAGGAAGGCAGGGAGGATAGGAAAGAAGGAGGAGGAGAGAGGTTGGTTGGTTTTCTAACTTCCTCTCAAAATTAATTGGCTACCTAACTGAAACATAACATTATTCTCACTGCATCTAATTTCTCCTGGAGCTAGAGCTGGTATAGGGGACCCCGATGTCAGTCTTAAAATTCTAGAATTCTGGAGCTCAAGTTCTCTTGTCTCCACTAGTGGATCCAGCCTCCTCTCTCTCAGGTAAGCTGCTGACAGAGGGTTAGGGACCATTTGGAATCACACAGACCTGGATTCAAATCCCCACTCCATCACTTTAGTCTTGGATACTCAAGCAAATTACTTGAACTCCTTACAGAGGCCGAGATTCTTGTAACAGCAGCATGGATCCTTGCTGCGATGAGGATTAAGCGGAATGTGTCACTGAAAATGAAATGAAATGAGAAGCCCCTAATCCAGCCCCTAGCTCGTGGATCTCAGGAAGGGCCTGCAGGCTTCCTTCTCTCTGGTGGATAAATATAGCCCCTGCTCACTTTCCCTGCCCTCGGACTGTCCCTTATCCTTTGATCCCTCCAAGCTGCCTTTTTCCTCCATCCTCCTTGTCTCTAATCCTGTGTCCTCCTGGCCTTTCCCGGTTTGGTTACTGCTCGCTGGAGCTGTTTTCCCCTGCTGCATCTCTGTCTCTCGCTCCAGCTTAGCCTCCTTGGTAGGGTACCGGCAGTGTCCCTCCAGGAGGCTCATGCCCTAGAAGGTGAGGGACCAGCAGACAGCTCAGAGATGAGCCAAGAGGGATAGAACTGCCCATCCCAGGGCTTCTGGGGGGTGAACACCCGTGTCTTTCCAGCAGCTACACATAGCTGGTTATTCAGGAAAAAACAAAAAATAAAATGTAAAGATGTAGGCTCCTGCATTCCACAGCATTCCAGGGCTCTGCCTCAGTCAGGGAGAACCCCACTCCTCCTGCAGCCTTGCGCCTCAGCCCTTCACCTTAGCCTCTGTGGCTCCTTGGCCTCCGTTCCCTTTGCCTCTGCTCTCCATGCCTCTGCCTAGAGCAGGGACCGTCTCTGGAGACAGTGAGTGGGTCCTGAAGGTGGAAGAATTTCACAGGATGCCCCAGCCCCAATCTGGGCATTTAGACTAATCTCAGAAGAGTTGAATTCTGTTCTTAAAGTTGCACTGGGCAAGATACGCCCATGAGAAGGGGGTGGGTGTCTGCCTGATTTGGCAGAGGATGACACAGGGACCCAGGGCTGACCTGAGGACGAGTGTACCACGCTGTCAGGCAAAAACCCAGAGAGCCCAGGTCACATGTCAGAGAAAGGGCTTTAACATGGGATTCTTACACCATGGAGCCCAAGGCTCACCTCCATGCAAGGGAAGGAACAACACCCTATGGGGACAAAGGCTTCTGAGCCCTTTAGTTAATGGGACAAAAGCCTTCAGGAGGAGTGAGATCACGGCCTGCTTTCTGTCCACCGTGGGGCACCCGTGCACTTCAAGGAAGGCCCAGGAGGAGCTGCCAGCACAGCTCTGTCCAGGGTGAGGAGTGAGTGGCTTGCAGAGGAGCCACTCCACGATGCCCTGGCAAGCCCCTGTCACATTCCAGAGCACAGAGGACCACGAACTCCCAGCTTGGCTCAAGGCATGCGGGGCTGGCACACAGCCCAGGCATTTCCTCCCCTCCCATCCCTCTTTCTCATTCTCTTTCTGCATCCTGGTGCTAAAGGTTCTGCTGGAGCTTCCGTCTCTCTTCTCTGCAGAGGGAGAATAGGGAAAGGAGTGGGTGTCAGCTGGGAGAAATTTCCACTCAGTTTAATGTTGCTGGAAATCCAGACATCTCTAAAATATGGGCTGAGGACCCCCACGTGCCCAGCACTGTGCCAGCCAGCCCCAGAATGCAGAGATGAAGAAGAGCTGTCTATTGAGGACAGAGGAGACTGCTTATGGATGTGTCCTTGACAGCCACCTTGGCTGGGCACGTGGAAGAGATCACAGGAGGCAATGTCAGTGAGGGTTGTGCACCACTGCACCCTGCAAGCTGCCTGAGGGTGGGCCCACCTAGCACAGTGCCTGGCCTGCTGGAGGAGCTCAGTACACATTTGTTGAGTGAATTAGTGGAATGAGGTAGTTTAGGAAGGCTTTCTGGAGGAAAGAAAATCTGAACAGGGCCCAGAGAGGATGGGTGGAATTTGACCAGGCCAAGTAGAAAGGAATGTATCCTGTGCGGCAGAGAGCCCTAAAAGGAGAGGTAAGGAAGGGGACAGTCCACAGTAGGCTGTTCTAGACAGGAGCATGGGGAACAGCTCCTTTGTTACTCTCAGGATAAAGCCAGGCCCCCCGGTTCACTCGCAAGATCCTTCTCATCTGGCTCTGCCCACCCTTCATTACTGCCTCTTCCCACAGCACCCTGGTCCTCTATTCCAGCTGACTCAAGCATTTATTTGCAATCCATGGGACAAGACCCTTGCTCTCTCTCCTCCAGGCCTGTGAACAACTCTCCTCCCCTCTGCCAGGAAGGCCTCCACCTGTACCTCTCCCTGTCTCTCCAGCTCCTCCTGACACCATTGATCTCTCCTGACACCAGTGGTCTCTCCTGCGAGGACCTCACCTTCTGAAGTCAGGTTGGTCACTGTTCCTAAGTGCAACATGCCTCTCTCTGCTTGCCGCATGCTCATGCCATCCCCATGAATTGTTATTCCTGGTCTGTCTCCCCCTAGACAGGTCCTAGACTGAACCATGGTCATGGTCCTAGACTGGTCATGTTCCAGTGCACCAGATTCCCCACTCCGAGATGATCGATTACAGTCAGAGACAATTAACTACGGCTTCAGCAATGTGTGAGAGGCAGCCAGCATCAAGGGAGGCAAAGCACAGCCGTCAAAACAGAGATCACACAGTCCCAAACAGCCTCGACCCTGGCTCACATAAACTTTCCCGTCTCTAAGTGGGAGAGGCAGGCTGATGCAGCCATGGCTTTCAAAGCTTTTCCATAAGATGTTAGTGATTTCTGATCACACTTGGCAAACATCCTTTGTGGGTGTGGATTTCTGATTAGCCTGTAAATTCCTTGGAGCTGAAGAATCAAGTCCAATTCTCCTTTGTATTATCAGTTAAACATCACACCGGGCACATGGGAGGCTTAATAAAGAATTATTTCTTTATTTGGTTAACTACTTATTCATTGATCAAACTCACTTAAGGCAATGTCATTATAATTTCCAGTCTTGACTTCAATCTTGAACAGGCTGCAGGAACGGTTCTCACACCTAGAGCTTATGCCCAGAAGATTACATAATACCAGCAGTAGGAAATGAGAAGCTACAGTAGTAAATGGGAAGTCAGTTTCCAGCTAAATTCCATATGCTCAGAGGTGGAAAAGGCTTTAGAGAGCATCTAGCCCCCACCCTCACTTTATAAGATGGGAAACTGAGACTGTGATATGGAAATTATTTGTCCAAGGTCACAGGACATCATTTACTTGTTGGATCCAGTTGTTTGACCTTGGTCTTTGAGGTTCAGTCTTCTCTCCATTATACCATTTCAGCTTCCTCTACCACCAGTAAGAATCCTCCAACTGCCCATTCCCAAGAAGGAGCCTGGTAGAAAGACCATGGATATTTGTGTCAAACCTGAGTTCAAATCCTGATTCTGCTACTTAATTGCCATTCAACTAAGAGAGCCTTGTATATTACTCAAATTACCCACTTGTGAAACAGAGAAATAGCACCTACTTTGGAGGGCTGGAGTGTGAATTACAGATGGGATAATGTCTGCAGCGTGCCCAGCCCTGTGCTTGATATGGTGGCTCTCAATAAATGTCAGTTCTGCCCCTTCCTCTGGTTCTTAGAGTTGTTTTGCCTTCTCTGTCTTTTCCCTCTTAGAAAATCTTAAGGTCTACTTAGAAGGGCCTCTCAGAGGTCTTTTGGCCCACTTCCCTGCATGTATTTAGGGCTGACCCCTCTCTTCCCTCTAAAGCATTTCATCCTATCCTGGAACTTCTAAAGAAGGCATTTCACTGTATAACTCAGGCTAGTGGATAAAAGTTAGGTAGGGCCTCTCTTCTTCCTCCCATCTAGCCCAATACTTCCTACTGCAATTTAGGAATGAAGTTATTTTCTCTGTTTTGCTTTCCAGGAGGATGCAAAAATATTTTTTTCCTTCTTCCCTTCTTTTTCCACCATATCTGTTTATTTTTTCTTCAATATCCTGATTTCTCCTCCTTTTCTCCTTCCCCTGGGCTTTTAGAACTACCCCCACCCCTCTCTCTGTGCCCCTGTCCCTGTCTTTTCTTTTCAGATGGGCAGCGGACTGATGATATCCCGCATATTAGGGTGGCCCCTCCCACATCCCATTCCCGCCCAGACATCTCAGCCCTGCTCAATGCCCGCCTCTGGCGGAGACCTTATCTCTGCCCACCACACCGCAGCTCCAGCTGCCGTCCTGGGCAGACTGAAACCAAACAGCTAGGGTGAGTCTGTATTGGATCCTGATGGCTGGCTGACCCAGCTGCCTGCTCCCGGGAGAAGTAGGATGAGGGGACAGGTGGAAGTTGAGGCCGCCTTCCTAGCTCCTCTGACAAATGCCAAAGGGACCTGTAGAGCCTCCTGCCATTCCACAGGGTGGGTGCTACTAGCTCTCCTTCTCCCAGACCCCTCTCCTTGACTGTGCTGGCCTCATTGCCAGAAAAATTCCAGGGCAGGTGGAGGCAATCTGCCTGGAAAACAAACCCGGTGCCAAGCCACTGCAGGATGGGCCAAAGGATTTCGGTGGAATCCCAAAACTCGCAGCGCGGACCGAATCTTGTAAATCAGGAGGGGCTTGTTGCTCTAAGCGGCCTGACCTTTCTTTTCTTCTTCTTCTTCTTCTTCTTTTTTTTTTTTTTTTAATTATACTTCAAGTTCTAGGGTACATGTGCACAACATGCAGGTTAGTTACATATGTATATATGTGCCATGTTGGTGTGCTGCATCCATTAACTCATCATTTACATTAGGTATATCTCCTAATGCTATCCCTCCCCGCTCCCCTCACCCCACGACAGGCCCCGGTGTGTGATGTTCCCCACCCTGTGTCCATGTGTTCTCATTGTTCAATTCCCACCTATGAATGAGAACCCGAGGTATTTGGTTTTCTGTCCTTGCAATAGCTTGCTCAGAATGATGGTTTCCAGCTTCATCCATGTCCCTTCAAAGGATATGAACTAATCCTTTTTATGGCTGCATAGTATTCCATGGTGGATATGTGTCACATTTTCTTAATCCAGTCTATCATTGATGGACATTTGGGTTGGTTCTAAGTCTTTGCTATTGTGAATAGTGCCTCAATAAATATATGTGTGCATGTGTCTTTATAGCAGCATGATTTATAGTCCTTTGGGTATATACCCAGTAATGGCATCGCTGGGTCAAATGGTATTTCTAGTTCTAGATCCCTGAGGAATCGCCTCACTGTCTTCCACAATGGTTGAACTAGTTTGCAGTCCCACCAATAGTGTAAAAGTATTCCTATTTCTCCACATCCTCTCCAGCACCTGTTGTTTCCTGACTTTTTAATGATCGCCATTCTAACTGGTGTGAGATGGTATCTCATTGTGGTTTTGATTTGCATTTCTCTGATGGCTAGTGATGATGAGCATTTTTTCATGTGTCTGTTGGCTGCATAAATGTCTTCTTCTGAGAAGTGTCTGTTCATATCCTTTGCCCACTTTTTGAATGGGTTGTTTGATTTTTTCTTGTAAATTTGTTGAAGTTCTTCGTAGATTCTGGATATTAGCCCTTTGTCAGATGGGTAGATTGCAAAAATTTTCTCCCATTCAGTAGGTTGCCTATTCACTCTGATGGTAGTTTATTTTGCTGTGCAGAAGCTCTTAATTAGATCCCATGTGTAAATTTTGGCTTTTTTTTGCCACTGCTTTTGGTGTTTTAGACATGAAGTCCTTGCCCATGCCTATGTCCTGAATGGTACTGCCTAGGTTTTCTTCTAGGGTTTTTACGGTTTTAGGTCTAACATGTAAGTCTTTAATCCATCTTGATTAATTTTTGTATAAGGTGTAAGGAAGGGATCCAGTTTCAGCTTTCTACATATGGGTAGCCAGTTTTCCCAGCACCATTTATTAAATGGGGAATCCTTTCCCCATTTTTTGTTTTTGTCAGGTTTGTCAAAGGTCAAATGGCTGTAGATGTGTGGTATTATTTCTGAGGGCTCTATTCTGTTCCATTGGTCTATATCTCTGTTTTGGTACCAGTACCATGCTGTTTTGGTTACTGTAGCCTTGTAGTATAGTTTGAAGCCAGGTAGCATGATGCCTCCAGCTTTGTTCTTTTGGCTTAGGATTGTCTTGGCAATGCAGGCTCTTTTTTGGTTCCATATGAACTTTACAGTAGTTTTTTCCAACTCTGTGAAGAAAGTCATTGGTAGCTTGATATGGATGACACTGAATCTGTAAATTAGCTTGGGCAGTATGGCCATTTTCACGATATTGATTCTTCCTATTCATGAGCATGGAATGTTCTTCCATTTGTTTGTGTCCTCTTTTATTTCGTTGAGCAGTGGTTTGTAAGCAACCTGACCTTTCTTGTGCTGGCGGCTCCCTGCTTGCTTTTTGCCTCATTCCCACTCCCTGTCTGGAGTTGGGGGCGGGGTGGGGGATAAAGGGGGTGGGAGTGGTCAGGAACAGAGGGAAAGCAGCCGGAGGGGATTGATGGGCTGATTGAGCTGAGCATGAACCATCCCTCTGCCTGGCTGTGCCCTTCGACCTGCCTCAGACTAGAAGGCCTCATTGGTATTCCAGGCCAGGCCAGCCTGGGGAAGAACAACGAGATATATTCGGGTGCTTTTCAAAGCACCTTCATTTATTAATCCATTTTATCCCTCTGGCAGCCCTGGACAGACATAAGGTGAGAGACAGGCCTGAGGGCCGCGGAGGGCCCTGAGTCCGTGCTTGCATTCCTCCCAGCACATTGGCTCCCCAGGCCCCTGGAGTCTGCTGCCTCTTGCATTGGAGACCACCCCCATAGACAGCGGTGCCTTCTGTTGCTCCAGAGAGGAGACTTCCAGAAGCTTCCACACGCTGGCCTCATACTGAGGTGCTTGAGAACATGGACTCTGGTTCAAAATCTGGCTCTGCCCTCTACCAACTGTGGTACCTTGGCCAAATTCCTTAGCCTTTCTGGGTCTCAGAGCTAATACCTACCTCACAGTGTTGTTAGGGTGACTAATTGAGTTTTTTTTTGTTTTGTTTTGTTTTGTTTTGTTTTGTTTTGTTTTGTTTTTTGAGACAGAGTCTCACTCTATCACCCAGGCTGGAGTGCAATGGCATAATCTCGGCTCACTGCAACCTCCGCCTCTTGGGTTCAAGTGATTCTCCCACCTCAGCCTCCCGAATAGCTGGGATTACAGGCAGCCACCACAATGCCTGGCCAATTTTTGTACTTTTAGTAGAGACGGGGTTTTACCACGTTGGCCAGGCTGGTCTGGAACACCTAATCTCAGGTGATTTGCCCACCTTGGCCTCCCAAAGTGCTGGGATTACAGGCGTGAGCCACCGTGCCCAGCCTAATTGAATTAATACTTAGGAAGTGCTTAGAGCAGTACCTGATATGTAGTAAGTCCTGTGTTAGCGTTTGCTAAATAAATTGGTCCCAGCTCTGAAATATGGGATTGCACAGCTGCCAGCTTATCTTGCAGGTCTGGATAGCCCTCACAGGCTCCCTAGACCTCTTCTTCTCCAAGCCCTTCATTTGCTCAGTAAATATTTATTGAGCACTTACCATGTGCCTCTGTGTTTGGCATTGGGTTGGCTGTGTGAACAAAACAAAATGGTCCCAGTGCTCATGGGATTTATTGTCAATGCACATATCAATACATAATGTCAAATCATGCTGTATACTACTAAAGAATCAAAAAATAAGACACTGCAAGAGAATAACAGGGCAAACCTACTTGGGGTGTTGGGGGCTAAGAAAGGTCTATATGGGGAAATCACCTTTGAGCTCAAATCTGAAGGATGAGAAGGAGCAGGTATAGGATTTGGGTGGTGGGAAAGAACATTCCAGGTAGAGGGACCAGCATGTGTGGGTGCCCTGGGCAAGCAGGGGCATAACATGTAGCAGAAATGGGAGGAAGGCTGATGTGGCTAGTGCCAAGGACTGAGGGGCTATGAGAGAAGAGGTGGACGGGGGTGCAGATTTAAGATGTGGGATCACATGCTAAGTAGAATGTAAAGGATGAAAGGGCTTTAAGCAGTGGAGTGGCATGATTCCATTTGGCTAGATGAGCCCATCTGGCACTCAGGTGTGGTGATGAGAGATTGGAGAGAGTAGTTAGAAGGGGTCTGCAGTGATCAAGGCGAGGCTTGCTGCTGCCTTACATTGGAGAAGTGGCCATGGGGATGGCTAGAAGTGGGTCAACTCGAGGTGTATTTTGGAGGTAGAAGGCGGGGCTTAGGATTGTGTAGGAAAGCTTTCAGGATTTTAGGGGGTGTTAAGCTTGCTGGGACTCAAGGAGCTGGCAATGGGTGGGTGTGGGGGAATGAATTTGAGGGTGGAATCTAGGATGACTCCCCATGTTGTAGGCTGGATCACCTGGGAAGATGAAGATGAAGAATTTAAGGAAAAGAGGGTGTTTCCTTTCTTCAGTATCCCTAAACACTCTCTTTTGAATAGGCTCCATTTTGCCTCAAATGAAGATATGAAGTGCTGATCTTCTTTTATTCTATGAAATGGAAGACTCCTGAAAATGGGTTCTCGTCAGCACAGAGTGGAGAATGACTGTTGCCCATCTGTTCTAAATTCCATGCTTCCATCCCATAGGGTTCAGGGTCTGGGTCCAGATTAATCCTGGCTGTACCACTTGCTAACCACAAGATCTTAGGTAAGTTACTTAAATCTCTCTGTGCCTCAGTTTCTTTTTCTGCAAAATGGGGATAAGGTAGTACTTCTCCCCTAGGTTATTTTGAGAATAGCATGAGATTGTGCTATACTGTAAATATTTGTATAGCTGAAGAGCCAATTTCATTTCTGCCACCTCCTTGAAACATACCATCCCTTAAGACCCCAAGAACTTTCCTGCATCTTCCATTTCTGAGTCCTGCCTTCATCATTCTGGGCTCACGCAGTTGAATTTTTAAACCCAAGTTCAGGGCCTGACATTTATCCCTGTTAAATCTCATCCTGTTAGATGCAACCGTTGGCACCTGTCAAATTCCTTTTTATTTTGATGAGGAAGAGGTAGCATGATGCATGCTAAGTTCATTTTTGTGGCCATAGAAACATTCATGGATGTTGCTTTTGCTGTCTTCTTGCCTCCTGGTGAGTGGCCCCTAGCCTGGGTAAAGGCAGAGGCCAAGTTGGGCTGAGATGAGGGAGGCGAGGAGGCTCAGCTTGGCCCAAGGGCGATCCAGCACAACCATCCTGGTTCCCGTCTCCCAAGTCAGGCGCTGGCTTTGAGTTCTGAGATGCTGGGCCAGAGAGACCTGTTCAAAGTCACTTCGTGGGTTGGCCAGTGACAAGCCTAAGGCACAGGCCATGGCCCAGCTCTCTGTCCACAAGGCCCCACCACTTTATGATCTGACCTCTTTCCAAACCGCCCTGTCACATTCCCTGACCTCGGATCAGAGAAGAATGTGGACTAGACATGTCTCGCTCCACACGGCCCTCCGGCCTCTCCACTCCCACAGAGTGTGTATGTACCCACATGCCTCTAAGGGTAGCACCCCCCAACTCCCTCCCCCTCCACCCACACACGTACTGTGTCTGTGCTGGGTGAAACAACACAGCCCCTTCCACATTGGTTGAGGGGGGGTTGTGCTCCGCCCCACTCATGCTCCTCCTCTGACCTTTCCAAGGTCTCTGTCCCCACCTTGGAACTGATCTCACAGCAGCAGCAGGTGGCTTTGATGTTTATGCTTAACTGCACGCATCACTGAGCTTTCTTCCTGTGGGATTCTCTCTTCCTAACTTCCTAAGGGCAGGTAGATCTCCACCTTAGGCCAAGAGCTCCCTGAGGACAGGGGCTGTGTATCCCATGACTTCTTCCCCTATTCTCCAAGCACCTACTGGGCTCAGTTCATGGGGGGAGCTGGACTTCAAGGTGACCCCAGCATTTAGCAAAGGCCCAGAAGGACAGCCAAACCTAGAAGCCCTGGGAAGCAATAGCACATTGATTCTGCATTCCTCCCGGATTCCAGGGGAGTGGAGGTGGAAAGACACCCCCAGCCAGGCACAACAACGTGCCTTTGGTACCAGCCTCTGGGACTGATGGACTCATTGGTCCAGTGCCCACCACCACTCGCCCTCTTCCATTAATGCACTCCTTGTTCACCATGTATGCTGCAAGGTATTTTTCCAGGCAGTAGTTTCTTGGGAGATTGAATTTCCCTAATAAGTAGCCTTGCAAATAACTCAGAGGGCAGGGAGAGAGAGGAAGCTATCTCTCTAGATTCTAACACTGGCAATCCACAAATTAACCCTCACTGGAGCAACCTGCTCAGACTAGAGAAGGGAAAAAAGGTTCCTTCTCTAGAAGGTTCCTTCTTTTGCTAGTTCCACATTTCTCACATAATTCTTGGTTAATTTTCTCTGCCAACCTGTTGGTATGCCTTGGAGAAGACTGGGGGAGAGAGGGACTGAGATGAAAGAGAAGAAGAAAAGTGGCTCACGCCTATAAGCCCAGCACTTTGGGAGGCCGAAGCGGGCAGATCACAAGGTCAGGATTTCGAGACCAGCCTGACCAACATGGTGAAACCCCGTCTCTACTAAAAAAATACAAAAAAAAAAAAATTAGCCAGGCATGGTTGTGCATACCTATAATCCCAGCTACTCAGCAGGCTGAGGCAGGAGAATCACTTGAACCTGGGAGACAGAGGTTGCAGTGAGTCGAGATCGCGCTACTGCACTCCAGCCTAGGCGACAGAGCGAGACTCTGTCTCAAAAAAAGAAAAAAAAGAAAAGAAAAGTACAAACACTTTATATTTGTATAATGCTTTGTATCTTTTCAAAGGACTTTGCCTCTATAAACCCAATACTCATTACATGCTATCAGTATAGACCCATCTATTCATCAGACTTTTAGTGAGAGCCTACTATGTGTTGGGCATTATGCTAGGCACTTAGAGGGATGTGATAGCAAATTAGACCTGGAGGAGATAAAACCTTGGATAGGGAGACAGAATAAACAAATGATGAGGATTTAAGGTGGAAAAAGGGGTAATGGGGATCAAAGGAGGAAAACACCAACCCTATAGTAGAGTAGAAATAGCAAGCACTTTACAAAGGAAATGATAGCTGAGCTGGGTTGCTTCTAATAGAGGAGGAAAGGAGGAGCCATAAGGAAGAGTTCTTATTTTGTGTAGCCCAATTCTCCCTGCAACTGATGCTTATCAGTAGAGAGTAACCAGCATGGTGAAAGGCCTAGAAATCATAGTGTACTGGGAAAGGGTGAAGGAAATTTGGAGTTTGAGCTGGAGAAGAGACTTGGAGACAAGCGACACCCTTGTCATTATTTGAAGGACTGATGGATTCATTTATTTATTTATAGACAAGGTCTTGCTCTGTCATCCAGGCTGGAGTGCAATAGTATGATCATAGCTCACTGCAGCCTTGAACTCCTGGGGTCAAGCAATCCTCCTGCCTCAACCTCTTGAGTAGCTGGGACTGCAGGTGTGCACCACCATGCCCAGCTAATTAAAAAATTTTTTTTTTGTAAGGACAGGGTCTCATTATGTTGGCTGGTCTTGAACTTCTGAGCTCAAGCAATCCTCCCACCCCAGCCTCCCAAAATGTTGAGATCTCAGGCGTGAGCCACCACACTCGGCCAGGACTGATGGAAATAAAGACAAAGTAGATCCTCCCTGTGACTCCAGTGGGGAGACCCAAGGCCACTGGGTGGGAGGAAAATATTTTAGCTCAAAAGAGAAAGACAACATGTGATGCAGTGCAGACAAAGTAACCAGGGGTGTTTTCCCCTTTCCCTAAGAGGGCATTTGGCAATGTCTGGAGACAATTTTGGTTGTCACAACTGGAAGGTGAGGTGCTACTGATATCTAGGGGGGTATCTAGCCAGGGATGCTGCTGCTACACATTCCACAGTGCACAGGACAATAACCCTCCACAGCAAAGAATCATCCAGCCCCAAATATCAGAGTGCCAAGGTCAAGTAACTCTAATGCAGTGGAAGAAGCCCAGGCTTGGGGTTCTAATCTCTCATACCAGCAGTGCCATTTACTAGCCTTGAGACTGTGGGCAAGTTACTAAAACCCTCTTGTTATCAGTGTCCTCATCTGTAAAATGAAAATAATAGAACCAAACAAAACCACCGAATCCCAAATTCAGTGGGTTCTTTCTGAATAGTGCCCAGCAAAGTCCCTGGTATAGAGAAGGTGCTCCGTAGTGCCTGTTATTAAAACACAAGGAAGATTTTATTTCCTTTTCATCAGTGAAACTGCCTAATAATTGATCAGAGTGCCAGAGAGGTTATGAGTTGTAATGAGTTTTCTGTACCTGGGAATGCTCAACTTCCTGCAGGGACGTTATAGAGGGTTTTCTGGAGTAGGTGTGTCAGTCACTTGGTCCTTCTATTCTGGCATTTTTCTAGAGGCGGATCAAGACATCTGCATTGCTTTTTTGTTTGTTTGTTTGTTTGTTTGTTTTGAGACGGAGTCTCACTCTATCGCCC
Source organism: Homo sapiens (assembly GCF_000001405.40). Lineage (NCBI taxonomy): Eukaryota > Metazoa > Chordata > Mammalia > Primates > Hominidae > Homo > Homo sapiens. The sequence goes on along the minus strand of NC_000001.11, from coordinate 203,429,855 downwards.
AGCTAGAGTGCAGGGGCGTGATCTCGGCTCACTGCAACCTCTTCTGCCCGGGTTCAAGCGATTCTCCTGCCTCCGCCTCCCGAGTAGCTGGGATTACAAGTGCCTGCCACTGTGCCCGGCTAATTTTTTTTGTATTTTTAGTAGAAGTGGGGCTTCACCATTTTGGCCAGGCTGGTCTTGAACTCCTGACCTTGCTATCCACCCACCTCGGCCCCCCAAAGTGCTGGGATTACAGGCGTGAGCCACTGTGCCTGGCTGACATCTGCACTGTCATAGGGGATCGCTCAGAGTGGTGGGAAAAACTACAGGGAAAGGATGCAAAACTTCTGAAAGGTCAGAAGGTTCTGCAGAGCCCTGGGGGAGAATGACTGAGGGCAGCTGTTCTATAACCCTGAGGCAGAGGGCAAGGAGCAGGTACAAGGGAGTGTGGGGGATTTTATCTTAAACAAGCTTGTTATGTTGACCAGGAACTGACTTTTGATCATCTGCGCACATGAAGTTCCCTGAAAGGGGAACAATAAATGTTAATTACCTACAGGTTGTGTTGGCTCCAGGTTTTTGGCATTGTGCCTGCACTGAATAAAAGCAAGCAGCTCCAGTTCTCGGGGCTGAACTCCGGCCACTTGAGCTGCTCTTACACTGTATACCTGTGTCTGAGTACTCAGTTCATCCACCAGTCAGGGTCTGTGGGACAGACTAGGCAGGTGGTGCCCCGTGTGAGGAGCAGCGCAGTGGATCATGATGGAACCCTCGAAAATGAACGTGAAGTGACTGCGCAGTAAGTAATCGGTGCCCGCTGGGGATTTCCAAGTTTGAGGGGATTTTCCAGCTAGGGTTTCATCATGGGACAACAGTTATCCCCTCAACAGCAACAGTGTATTGAAACAATTGCCTAAAGCTAGCAGAGCCTCAGTCTCAGAGATCCAATTAAAGGACCTGATGCAAACTGTTGTTTTCCATAACCCATGGTTTCCAGAAGAAGGTACACTAGACCTAGAGCTCTGGGAACAAGTGGGAAGAAATCTTAAACGACGTGCGCAAGGGCAGTAGGTCCCAGTAACATCTTAATGTTATGGTCCTAATAGGGTTGCTTTGGCCCTGCTCTTCATAGAAGAGCCCAAAAAGATAAGGGAAGAGGAACCACTACCCACTTTAATGCCTCAGCCTCCCTCAGCCTTGCCGTCACTGGCTAAAGATACCAAAGAGGAGACGGAGGTTTTCCTCCCCCTCCCCCCAATGAACTGGGAAGAAGACAAGCGATATACTACAGTTATGGGACCCTGCCTTAGGCAAGCAGCATTGGAAGGGGAACTCTTGGCCTGCCCAGTGATGCAAGATCAACAAGGCAATTGGGTGCATGAGCCCATTACATTGAACACTTCTAAGGAAATAAGAAAAAGCATTAGAGAAAATGGGGCCACTAGCCCATTCACAAGAGGATTAATTGAGGCAATAGCAGATAACTACCATATGACTCCATGGGACTGGTCAGTGCTAGCTAAAACAACTTTAGGAGGCGAGTCAATACCCCCTCTGGAGGGCAGAATATGATGAATTGTGTGAACAACAGGCTAACCAGAATCAATTGCCTGGACAAAACATCGGCTGCTATGCTCCAGGGGAGGGGTCCCTATGTTAATGTACAACAACAATTAAATTTTGTCCCCCAAGCCTATGCACAAGTGTCCTTATGCATCTTCAGGGCTTAGGACCAAATTCCCGAAGGCAGAGTTCAACAGGGATCTTTTGTAAATGTTCAACAAGGGCCACAGGAGCCATTTATTGAATTTATCCATCAGTTAACCCAGGCAATTAAGAGCACACATGGAACATCGACCATTCCACGGGTATCTCGTATAACCCTCAAGGACAAGCCATAGTGGAACGTGCCCATTCCACGCTTAAAAATATGCTTTAAAAAAAGGGGGAATATGAATAAGGACCCTACAACACTACTAGCACAAGTCTTATTCACCCTTAATTTCTTAAATTTAGATAATAAATTTCAATCAGCCATAGAAAAGCACTTTGCTAAAACCTCCCAAGATACAAAGCCTTCAGTGTTATGGAAAGATGTAAATAGTAATCTATGGTGCAGTCCACATGATTTGCTAACATGGGGAAGAGGATATGCTTGTGTTCACATCCCCTCAGGTCCTCTTGGGATTCCAGTGCAATGCATCAAACCATACCATGGCATGGCTGGGACCCAATGCAGTACTGGAAATGAAGAATGTGAGCCTGTAGGACCCGCAGCCCCGGACAATGCAGCTTCCTCGGACAACACAGGTCCCGGATGGGGAATGTGAAATAGACAACTGGGGGATGCTAAATAAGACAACTCAGGAGGCTAAGTGAATCACAGACACCATTCACTCCAGATAATCTGTTCCTTGCTATGCTGTCTGTTGTACATTGCAACTCTTGTAAGGATGCAAAGCTGGAACACAAGCTGTAACCGCTGCACCTGTCAAACCTGTCGCTGCACACATCTGTACGCTTCAATCAACTAAACCTGATGCAAAAAACAGAAAAGGGAGAGATGTAGGGGATCACTCAGAGTGGTGGGAAAAACTATAGGGAAAGGACACAAACCTTCTGAAAGGTTGGAAGGGTCTGCAGAGCCCCTGGGGAGAATAGCTGGAAGCAGCTGTTCTATAACCCTGAGACAGAGGGCAAGGAGTAGATACAAGGGAGTGTGGGGGGAATTGATCTTAAACAATCTTGTTATGTTGACCAGGAACTGACCTTTGATCATCCCTGCATGTGAAGTTCCCTGAAAGGGGAACAATAAATGTTAATTACCTTCAGGTTGTGTTGGCTCCAGGTTTTCAGCATTGCACCTGCCCTGAATAAAAGCAAGCAGCTCCAGCTTCCCAGGGCTGCGCTCTGGCCACTTGCACCAGGCAGTCCTCTGGCTGCTCTTACATTGCATACCTATGTCTGAGTACTCATTTCATCTGTCAGCCGGGGTCTGCAGGACAGACCTGGCACATTGTAGCCCTAGCACCCCATGAATCGAAGGGATTGCACTTTTCCAGAAACCAAGAACTGATTGGATGGGGGCTGATCAAAGTGGTATTAGAACCTTACTCCCTGCCTCTTAAATAATGCTCTACCCCTCCTAGCCCCTAACTCCTTGGTCCTGGCCTTTAATAACATGTGAGAAACTGAAGAAGGTCCCCAAAAAGTAATGCGAAGGACACAGAGGTCAGAAGGGGACAGAAGAAGAAAGGGGAGGCTGAGGGGAGGCCAGAAGCCCCGTGACAGATGTGGAGCAAGACATTGACCTGTTGATCCCACCGCCTCAGAGGCCAGCAGGAAGAAATGAGCCGCACTGAGGAAAGTCCACACAGAAAGTGGTTCCCAAGGGAAGGTGAGGGATTCCATCTGGGGGAACAGAAATTAGAATCAGCAACCAAACATGAGTCCAGGTTCTGGGCTCAGACCCTCGTGGACTGCTATTGAGGCACAAATGACAAATCTAAACTGCTATGGAATGGCATGAATGTGGCGATTTGAAGTGTTCTGAAATCTAGGAAAGGGAAGTGGGCAAGCCCCATGGCAGGGCACTCAGAATCTCCAGGAGGCTCTTCTCAGAGAACAAACACCCCACATGAAAACCTATTTGAGAATTACCCACCTAAAATGATGCTGAAGTGTAACTGCCTGAGAATGTTAACAAAAAATGATTTAAACTGAAAAGGTTTTTCATTTTTAGGTGAAGAAACAGATTCAGAGAGGTAAAATGAATTGTCTAAGATCATAGTTAGTGGCAGAACTGGAACTGAAACCTAGGGATATATATTTGTGAAAAGTTTTTTAAAACAGCGTGGCTGAGAACCAACCAATCGCATCAGACTCTCCTGTGTGCCTTGGTAAAATGCAGATTCCTAGACTCCACAGAGCTAGGGAATCAGAGTCCTTGGGGATGAGCCTTGGAAATGTATTCTTTTTTCTTTCCTTACCAAGTTCCCAAGAGCTAGAAAAGGAAATGTATTCTTAATAAGCTCACAAGGTGAGGTGACTCATATGTACATTAAGCTTCAGAGCCAGCAGTTTAGATAGGTTTGCTGATGGTAGACAGATGGAGTCCAAGACCTCTGAAGTGCCTCCCAGTCAAGGAAGCTGGGAATCTATGATGTAGGTACAGCATAGGGTAGCTGCAGCCCCCTCCCCTCTCTTTGTATAGAGGTCATCTCAGGAACTTCCAGGAAGAGTCAAATAAAGAGCTGTCACACACCCTAGAGCTGGAATCTGCACCCTCCACACCAACCCCTTTGCACAGCCTGTCTGCTCTGCATGATCCTGCAGCTGGTTACTGCAGCCTGGAAGAGCTGAGACAGAGAAGACAGACGTGGGGAGGGAGAATAACAATAATAAACAGACCTTAGACAAGAGGCTGCTGCATGGATCTCATTCAGCTGTTTACTCAGGACAATAGGTTATCTTGCGGGGGTCTGTTTTGGCTTGAGTGTGCCCATCAGTCCAGGCCAGCAGGCTTCTGCCCTGTGCCTGTCATTGCCAGGCTGTCAGGAGATGTGTCATAGTTTGCTTTTCTCTGAATTCCAATCACTGTCTACTGTTGCAGCTGAACCTGACTTTTTCAGATGTTGCTCACTGTCTGCTGTTACTGGTCCCCCATCACCTGATCCACTGCACCACAGAGTATGAGTTTGGGCAGGAGGGCAAGTCCACAAACCCAGGCCATGCAAACTGCCCTGTCCATCCTTCCCACTAAGCTCCAACTGAACTAGATGACATCGTCTGCTCCAATTGGGCTGTTTCCAATTCCCCAAACACACCTGGCACCCTCCCATCCCACACTGAGATTTTGCTCTTGCTGTTTCCCCTGCCTGGAAGTCCTTCCCCACATCGTCCAGCATATTCTACTCATTCTTTAGGGCCATGGCAGACATTGCTTGTTGCATAACCTTCATCTCTTCTCCCCTTCTTCATTTACAGTCCATTGATTTTGTTTAAGGAAGGGAGATCAATATGCCATCCTAAAAATATTGCTTCCAGGCTCCCTCGTTGCTAGAAGTGATAATGTAACACAGTTCTAGCCAATGGGATTTATGTATTTACTTATTTTGGAGACAGGGTCTCGCTCTGTCACCCAGGCTGGAGTGCAGTGGCATGATCTCGGCTCACTGCAGCCTCAAACTTCTGGGCTCAAACAATCCTCCCACCTCAGCCTTCCAAGTAGCTGGGACTACAGGCACACGGCACCATGCCCAGCTATTTTTTAATATTTATTTTTATCTTTTAATTTCCTTAAAATAAAAAAGGAAGAGACAGCTGGCCTGTGTCTGGCATGTGTGTTTTGTTTTTCCCCTTCTTGCTCCCTGGAAAGTCTAAGCCTGGGGGTAGAGTAGCCAATTTATAACCAAGAGGATAAAGACCACATGTTAAGGATGCTGGCCTGGAAGACAGAAGGAGCCTAGGTCCTTCATGACATCTTGAGGTTTGCACCGTCCTATCTCCACACTTCTTATAACAAGAGACAAATAAACCTCTATTTGTTTAAACCTCGTAGTCAGGTTTCTGTTACATGCAGCCAAATGCAGTCCTAACCGATACAATGGCTTATCTAAATATATAAATTTATTTATTTATTTACTTATTTAAAGAGAGATGGGGGCTTGTTTTGTGGCCCAAGCTGGTCTTGAACTTCTGGGCTCAAGCAATCCTCCCACTTCTGCCTCCCAAAGTGCTGGGATTACAGGCATGAGCCACCTCACCCGACCTCTCCCTCCATTTCTAATCATCCTGGCTGGATAGGCTCCTTCCTCCCTCTGTGCTCAGTTTGCCCCTAATTCCTCTCCCAGGGCAGTTCTCTCTCTCTTTTTTCTTTTTTTTTTCTTGAGACGGAGTTTCGCTCTTGTTGCCCAGGCTGGAGTTCAATGGCATGATCTCGGCTCACCACAACCTCCGCCTCCCGGATTCAAGCGATTCTCCTGCCTCAGCCTCCCGAGTGGCTGGGATTACAGGCATGCGCCACCATGCCTGGCTAATTTTGTATTTTTAGTAGAGAAGGGGTTTCTCCATGTTGGTCAGCCTGGTCTCGATCTCCTGACCTCAGGTGATCCACCCACCTCAGCCTCCCATAGGTGGGATTACAGGCATGAGCCACCACGCGTGGCCAATTCTCTTTACCTACATGCTCATTGTATATTAGTCTCAGCAACTTCGATGTGAGCACCTTGAAGGAATGAGCCTTCCTCTTCCTGGTAACTCCTCACAGGAGCACCTGATCTTCGGAGATGCCTGGTAGAGATGATTGAAAAGAACTGATCAGCATTGGCCTCTTTCCCCCAAGATCTACCAGGGTCATAGCACTCTGAGGATTATTTTGTGATATTTCCCCCATGGCCTCTCCATCAACTGCCCATACTCCATAAGTTTGTCCCCTGTCCTCTGTCCAGATCTAGACTCCAGGGCAGTGAGGCACAAGGGAAAACTATCCTATCACCTCTTCTATTAATAGAAACAATTAGGAGAGCAGATGTAGCTTGGCCTCCTAAGGGTCCCTCCTTCTGCCCTCCTTAAGACTGTCTGAGGGGAAGGGCAAGTTCTGAGGCTTCTTTAGAACCCCTCCCCCCACCATAGACTCTTGGAGCAGACAGTGTCATCTGGCTCAGTCTCCAGCCTTCAGCCAGGAAAATTCTACAGCTTTCAGAGCAGACAGAGAAGACTCAGTATCTCTTCAACCATCAAGATGGGACAGACTGTAAGAGAGCCCTGGAGGTAAGATGTTGAGGCTGTTTCTAGGCTCGGTGGCAGGCTGCTTGGCATCATGAAGGGGTCAAGCAAGATGCTACTCTGGGATCTATGGTATGTCTCCTTGAAGGTATGTCCTCTATGTAGGACCAGGGCTGGAGGAAGTTCTACATGTTTGTCTTCCCAGTAATCTACAAGCTCCTTCAAGGAAAGGAATGTCTTATTCATATTTGTTTCTCCCACCTAACAGGGCACGTGGCACAAAAAAGATGCCAATAAATATTTGTGGGCAGAAGAGAGGAAGGGAGGCCTTAAGTAAACTCAACCAAATGAGTTGCTAACCAGGATGCAAGCCCTGTCCTTTCCCAGCTCAGCCCAATGTTCTGTTGTGGGACTCCTCTGGCTTCTCCCTTAACCCTTCAGGCCCTAACTCGGACAATACCTCCTCTTTTACTTCTCCCTGCCCTTTTGCATGTCAAAGCAGAATTCATCATTCCGTTCTCCAATGGAATATTGGATATTCCATTACAGCCTTTAATCAACTGGATTGATAGTCTCTGCCTCTTCCTCTTCACCAATAGTCAGGGATGCTAGAGGGAAAGGCTCAGAGCCTGTTCCTCAGACTGGATGCGAGGACCTCCAGGTTACTTGCAGATAACAAAGGTCGCACAGCAAGGTAACTGGGATGAAGGTTGAGGTTAGACAGCTCTTTCCTGGGGTGAGGACGGAGGAGGGGTGAGTGGAGGAAGGTTGCCTTTGAGGAGGGCTGGCAGGACAAACGAGGCTTCTTTAGACCAGTGGGAATGTGCCATCTGGACAGGCTTGTTTTTCCTAAAACTCGTGAGGCAGCTCTTGGCACCAGAAGTCAGAACTGAGCCTGGGAGCAGGATGGAAAAGGTACCTATGCTGTCTCACCTGGGGCTCAGGGCTCCAGCATCATGGAAGGTAGAGTTGGACCTCTGGGCTCTCCCAGGCCAGTGGCTGCTGTAGGGCAACCCTGGGTCACTCCGAGTCCTTAAAAGTAATCATGGGGACCTGAGAGACACTTTCAATTTCTCCAAAGAACTCGTGGAATTTTCATCATATGGTAAGATTGAATAGGCTAAAGTAAATGGTTGCTTTTCTTTGCTTTTGGCTAGAATTATATCAACACAGTGTCCTCATGGAAAAATAAATTATTTGATAAATGCAGTTTGGTGGGTACAATTTTTCAAAATATGGGATCCTTCTTTTTGATGTTAAAAAAATTGGGAACCACTGGTTCCCCCAAATCTTTCTTTCCATAGATGAGAAGCATGAGGCCCAGATAGGTCACGCAGCAGGTCAGTAGCAGGCCTAGGGTTAGGACCAAGTGAACTGACCCTAGTCAACTGCCCTCTCTGCACACCACATGCTTCTCTGCTTTCTCTTGTCTTCATCATTCTTACTGAAGGGGGAGTCCTCTGACTCTGCCACCCCAACACCTACTGCTCTCCAGTGGAACTTCTAATGGAGTCTGACACCCATGTGTTCTCTGGGGTGCCCCACTGAGCCCCAGCATCTACTGCTATCAATATTATGTCCATAGCTGCCAGGGGAGTGGTGTCCCTATGAAAGAAAGGAGACATCCAAGATATACCCCTAGGGGATACATCAGTCAGATTCATATTTAGTTATGGGTAAAGGAAATCTTGACAAATTGTGGCCTAACCAAGAAAGTTCTTTTCTTCCCTCCCCTTCCTTCCCCTTCCCTCCCCTTCCTTCCCCTTCCCTCCCCTTCCTTCCCCTTCCCTCCCCTTCCCTTTCTTCCCCTTCCCTCCCATCCCCTCCCCTTTCCCCCTCCCCTCCCCTCACCTTTCTTTCCTTTTCTTACCATCCTTTCTACCTTCCTTCTCTCCTCCCCTCCCCTCCCCCTCCCTGCCCTTCCTTGTTTCTTTGTTTCTTTGTTTCTGTCCCTTCCATGCAACAAGAAGTCTGGGGGTGGGCAGTCCCGGGCAGGTACAGCTGCTCAAGGAGGTCATTAAGGTACCAGGCTCTTTCTCTTTTTCTGTTCTATCATCCTCAGTGTTTAGCCTTTCTCCTCATGTTTGCAAAGTAACTGCTAAATTTCCAGTCAAGAAGAGGGTGAAAATGGTCAGGGAGAGGGAAAAGCCCACTGCTAGAAGGCCTTGGCTCTGATTATTCAGGAAGGGAAGGCCTCCTCGGGGATAGCTCCCCCTCCCTTTGAGTAGAACTCATCTCATGAACATCACTAGCTGCAAGGGACACTAGACATTTAAGCATTTTCCTTTCCAGCCCTTATACTAGAGGAAGGTAATATAGAAGAGGATTGAAATGGGGTAGACAGAGCCAACATAAATACGCACATCTCCCCTGCGTCCTTACCCATCCTCCTCTCCAGCCTTGCTGTTACAAGGAGAGATGACTGTGGGCAGCCAATCTTTCCACTGGTGCTATGGATCCCATGCCCTGTCACCTCCTCACCTCTGTTTCCTGTATCTTCAAACTTTTCTGCTCTCTTGGATCTTATTCACTTTTTAATATGTTCTTAAATCATTCCCATGTTAAACAAAGTCAAACAACTCTTGGAGCAGTGACTTAGAGGACTTATAGAAAAATGCTGGGAACTAAAATTGTGTTTGTCAGCATTTGCTGACCTTCAGTGAGTTGCTGCAAGACAGAGACAATCATCAGTCATGCTAGGCCACAGGAGAGCAGGAAGGACACAGTTTACAGTTTCATCAAAAGGCCCTTTATGACTGTGGCCAAAGATTCAGGAGCTCTGAGGGTCAAAGATTAGTGTCCCTTGCAGACTACAAATCTGAATATGGCTCTTCTCTTGAATGACAAAACGCCACTCTGTTAGGCTTTTGTTTTTCATCTTTAAAATGGGGACAATAATATACTTGCTTCAAAGGATAATCCTGAGGATACAGTGAAATAATATACCCAAGAATGGCTTATCTTATAAAAGATAAACTAAAGCAGAGCTGGGGGTAAGAGAGAAACCCAGCCTCCGTGTGTGAGTGCTACGTGTTCTTATGCCAAAATTCAGCCCCATCCCATGTGTGTTCTGCTGTGTGACCCAAAAATGTCCTTTTTCTCTCCTTAACCTTGTTCAGGTTACATTTCTTTCTGTGCAACCCAAAGCATCCTCTCTAATAAACTCATCCATTCCCATGGCCTCCAGTGACACTCAGGTCCATCCCTATAGCCCAGACCTTTCTCCTACACTCCACAGCCATCTACCCACCTCCATATTTGATATTAATACTTAGATATATACAGACCCTTCAAACTCAAAATGTCTAAAAGTAGGCTATTCATCTTCTCCATACCTGTGTTTCTTCCTTGTGTTCTCTGTCTTAGTAAATGACATCATAATCTATTGGCTGCCCAAGCTGAAAACTGGAAATCATACTTGGCTTCTTCCTCTTCTTCATTCTCCACATCCCATCATCAAGCTCTGTAACTTACAACTCTTAAACATCTCTATCTTCAATGTCACCCTCTTAGTCCAGGCCATCATCTCTAGCCTCTGTGACCATCATTATTTATTTCCTACCCAACATAATTTCCCTATTTACTTGCCTGTAAGAACCCCTACATGGCTTCAGGCAGCCATGTGCCTAGATCTAGGTACTGAGTCGTTATGAAGAACATTGTTCCTCTTTGCCAGATACTAAATTTTCCAGCCTTGCTTGCAATTAGAGGGGCAGTGTGACCCAGTTTTGACCAATGAAATGTAAAAAGACATCTACGATGGGCTCCTGGGAAAGTTTTGCTTTACTGAGAAAAAGAATAGAAGGTGTCTAGTACTGTCCCCTCCCCCTTCTCCCTGCCTTGAACATGATTATTGGGTCTGGAGCTGAGGCAGTCATCTTGCTACAATGAGGGAATAAGCAAAAGCATACATAGCCAATATGTGGAGGATGGTGGTGCAGAAGAATGGATAAAGCCTGGGTTTCTAACAATGCCATCCCTGAGGAGGTCTTATTTCCTGATTTCCTATGGGTAAACAATGTCATTACAGGTTTTAAGCTATGTTGGGTATTCTATTACATGAAGCTGAAAGCATTTCTAACTAATAAAATCTCCCTGTCTTTGTTCTCTTCCTCTCCCTTAATTTATTCCTCACACAGTATTCAGAATAATCTTTTAGAAATATAATTCTGATGTTGACACGTCCTTGCTAAATGTGTTTGATGGCGTTCTATCCTTTAGTTTAGTGAAACTTGTATGGCCAGCTTCACCAGCTTGGAATAAAAATGAAGCCTGCCTCTTTTTTAATATTCACAATAACCACTGGAGCTTCAGTCTGTTCAGATTAGAAGGTGTTCAATATCCCTTTTAGGCCTAATTCAAAGGAGTCGATCTGGCATTCAAATGCCAAGCAAAGGGAGAACTTGAGAGTATGCCAGGCCATCATTGAGTCCATCCTTTTGGCCATCATTGACTGTCCCATGGCATCCCATTTGTAGGCTGGGCACATTTGACTGGCCCATTCCTGTCTAACACTTCCGTGATATCCTTGGTTGGTCCACATCCCCTGCACTGGCCATGGTGGTGGCGGGTCCTTCAGAGAGAATTGCATGCCTGTAGTGGGACACTTGGCTACAGGATAGCCACGATTATAGCTCTGTTGGCCGATGTTCATCCTCTTCCTAAACCATATCTCCCATGCCAGGGTGACTGCATGCAAAGGGGCTTCCAGACTCAGCCACATGCTGGTAAATCAGCCTTCACCCCAGAGCTCTTTTAGCTCATAGGATTGAACCCAGGTAACCAGTCCCAGCTCTGCTTTTATAAAGTTCACCCTAACTCTGAACTCCACTGTATTAGGATCAAGTGTGCACATTGGGGGACTCCCTTAATATGGCTGGACCCTGCCTGCCTCCCCAGCCTCATTTCATGCCACTGTCCTCCATGTCTCTTAGCACCAATGATGCTGGGCTTCTTCGTTTTTCTCACAAGCATTAAAATTTTTCTTGTTTTAGGTTCAAACATGCTTTTTCAAATTATTTTATTTTATTTTATCATACTTTAAGTTCAAGGGTACATGTGCACAATGTACAGGTTTGTTACATATGTATACATGTGCCATGCTGGTGTGCTGCACCCGTTAACTCATCATTTACATTAGGTATATCTCCTAATGCTATCCCTCCCCCCTCCCCCCACCCCACAACAGGCCCTGGTGTGTGATATTCCCCACCCTGTGTCCAAGTGTTCTCGTTGTTCAGTTCCCACCTGTGAGTGAGAACATGAGGTATTTGGTTTTCTGTCCTTGCGATAGTTTGCTCAGAATGATGGCTTCAAGCTTCATCCATGTCCCTGCAAGGGACATGAACTCATCCTTTTTTATGGCTGCATAGTATTCCATGGTGTATATGTGCCACATTTTCTTAATCCAGTCTATCATTGATGGACATTTGGGTTGGTTCCAAGTCTTTGCTATTGTGAATAGTGCCTCAATAAACATATGTGTGCATGTGTCTTTATAGCAGCATGATTTATAATCCTTTGGGTATATACCCAGTAATGGGATGGTTGGGTCAAATGGTATTTCTAGTTCTAGATCCTTGAGGAGTCACCACACTGTCTTTCACAATGGTTGAACTAGTTTATACTCCCACCAACAGTGTAAAACTGTTCCTATTTCTCCACATCCTCTCCAGCACCTGTTGTTTCCTGACTTTTTAATGATCACCATTCTAACTAGTGTGAGATGGTATCTCATTGTGGTTTTGATTTGCATTTCTCTGATGGCCAGTGATGATGAGCATTTTTTCATGTGTCTGTTGGCTGCATAAATGTCTTCTTCTGAGAAGTGTCTGTTCATATCCTTTGCCCACTTTTTGATGGGGTTGTTTGATTTTTTTCTTGTAAATTTGTTTAAGTTCTTTGTAGATTCTGGATATTAGCCCTTTGTCAAATAGGTAGATTGCAAAAATTTTCTCCCATTCTGTAGGTTGCCTGTTCACTCTGATGGTAGTTTCTTTTGCTGTGCAGAAGCTCTTTAGTTTAATTAGATCCCATTTGTCAATTTTGGCTTTTGTTGCCATTGCTTTTGGTGTTTTAGTCATGAAGTCCTTGCCCATGCCTATGTCCTGAATGGTACTGCCTAGGTTTTCTTCTAGGGTTTTTATGGGTTTAGGTCTGACATTTAAGTCTTTAATCCATCCTCAATTAATTTTTGTATAAGGTGTAAGGAGGGGATCCAGTTTCAGCTTTCTACATGTGGCTAGCCAGTTTTCCCAGCACCATTTATTAAATGGGGAATCCTTTCCCCATTGCTTGTTTTTGCCAGGTTTGTCAAAGATCAGATGGTTGTAGATGTGTGGTATTATTTCTGAGGGCTCTATTCTGTTCCATTGGTCTATATCTCTATTTTGGTACCAGTATCATGCTGTTTTGGTTACCGTAGCCTTGTAGTATAGTTTGAAGTCAGGTAGCATGATGCCTCCAGCTTTGTTCTTTTGGCTGAGGATTGTCTTGGCAATGCCGCCTCTTTTTTGGTTCCATATGAACTTTACAGTAGTTTTTTCTAATTCTGTGAAGAAAGTCATTGGTAGCTTGATGGGGATGGCATTGAATCTATAAATTACCTTGGGCAGTATAGTCATTTTCACAATATTGATTCTTCCTATCCATGAGCATGGAATGTTCTTCCATTTGTTTCTGTCCTCTTTTATTTCATTGAGCAGTGGTTTGTAGTTCTCCTTGAAGAGGTCCTTCACATCCCTTGTAAGTTGGATTCCTAGGTATTTTATTCTCTTTGTAGTAATTGTGAATGGGAATTCACTCATTCGGCTCTCTGTTGGTCTGTTATTGGTGTATAGGAATGCTTGTGATTTTTGCACATTGATTTTGTATCCTGAGACTTCGCTGAAGTTGCTTATCAGCTTGAGGAGATTTTGGGCTGAGACAATGGGATTCTCTAAATATACAATCATGTCATCTGCAAACAGGGACAATTTGACTTCTTCTTTTCCTAATTGAATACACGTTATTTCTTTCTCCTGCCTGATTGCCCTGGCCAGAACTTCCAACACTATGTTGAATAGGAATGGTGAGAGAGGGCATCCCTGTCTTGTGCCAGTTTTCAAAGGGAATGCTTCCAGTTTTTGCCCATTCAGTATGATATTGGCTGTGGGTTTGTCATAAATAGCTCTTATTATTTTGAGGTATGTCCCATCAATACCTATTTTATTGAGAGTTTGTAGCATGAAGGGCTGTTGAATTTTGTCAAAGGCCTTTTCTGCATCTATTGAGATAATCATGTGGTTTTTGTCTTTGGTTCTGTTTATATGATGGATTGCATTTATTGATTTGCATATGTTGAACCAGCCTTGCATCCCAGGGATGAAGCCAACTTGATCGTGGTGGATAAGCTTTTTGATGTGCTCCTGGATTTGGTTTACCAGTATTTTACTGAGGATTTTTGCATCGATGTTCATCAGGGATATTGGTATAAAATTCTCTTTTTCTGTTGTGTCTCCGCCAGGCTTTGGTATCAGGATGAAGCTGGCCTCATAAAATGAGTTAGGGAGGATTCCTTCTTTTTCTATTGATTGGAATAGCTTCAGAAGGAATGGTACCAGCTCCTCTTTGTACCTCTGGTAGAATTCGGCTGTGAATCGGTCTGGTCCTGGACTTTTTTTGGTCGATAGGCTATTAATTATTGCCTCAATTTCAGAGCCTGTTATTGGTCTATTCAGGGATTCAGCTTCTTCCTGGTTTAGTCTTGGGAGGGTGTGTGTGTCCAGGAATTCACCCATTTCTTCTAGATTTTCTAGTTTATTTGCGTAGAGGTGTTTATAGTATTCTCTGATGGTAGTTTATATTTCTGTGGGATCGGTGGTGATATCCCCTTTATCATTTTTTATTGTATCTGTTTGATTCCTCTCTCTTTTCTTCTTTATTAGTCTTGCTAGCAGTCTATCAATTTTGTTGATCTTTTCAAAAAACCAGCTCCTGGATTCATTGAATTTTTGAAGGGTTTTTTGTGTCTCTGTCTCCTTCAGTTCTGCTCTGATCTTAGTTATTTCTTGCCTTCTGCTAGCTTTTGAATGTGTTTGCTCTTGCTTCTCTAGTTCTTTTAATTGTGATGTTAGAGGGTAAATTTTAGATCTTTCCTGCTTTCTCTTGTGGGCATTTAGTGCTATAAATTTCTGCTAAGACCAGCTCGGTCGGGGAAACCCTAACCCAGCGATGCTAGAGGAATTAAAGACACACACACAGAAATATAGAGGTGTGAAGTGGGAAATCAGGGGTCTCACAGCCTTCAGAGCTGAGAGCCCCAAACAGAGATTTATCCACGTATTTATTAACAGCAAGCCAGTCATTAGCATTGTTTCTATAGATATTTGATTAACTAAAAGTATTCCTTATGGGAAATGAAGGGATGGGCCAAAATAAAGGGATGGGTCTGGCTAGTTATCTGCAGCAGGATCATGTCCTTAAGGCACAGATTGTTCATGCTATTGTTTGTGGTTTAAGAATGCCTTTAAGGGGTTTCCTGCCCTGGGTGGGCCAGGTGTTGCTTACCCTCATTCCGGTAAACCCACAACCTTCCAGCGTGGGCATCATGGCCTTCATGAACATGTCACAGTGCTGCAGAGATTTTGTTTATGGCTAGTTTTGGGGCCAGTTTATGGCCAAATTTTGGGGGGCCTGTTCCCAACAATTTCCCTCTACACATTGTTTTAAATGTGTCCCAGAGATTCTGGTATGATGTGTCTTTGTTCTTGTTGGTTTCAAAGAACATCTTTATTTCTGCCTTCGTTTTGTTATGTACCCAGTAGTCATTCAGGAGCCGGTTGTTCAGTTTCCATGTAGTTGAGCAGTTTTGAGTGAGTTTCTTAATCCTGAGTTCTAGTTTGATTGCACTGTGGTCTGAGAGACAGTTTATTATAATTTCTGTTCTTTTACATTTGCTGATGAGTACTTTACTTCCAACTATGTGGTCAGTTTTGGAATAAGTGCGATATGGTGCTGAGAAGAATGTATATTCTGTTGATTTGGGGTGGAGAGTTCTGTAGATGTCTATTAGGTCCACTTGGTGAAGAGCTGAGTTCAATTCCTGGATATCCTTGTTAACTTTCTGTCTCGTTGATCTGTCTAATGTTGACAGTGGGGTGTTAAAGTCTCCCATTATTATTGTGTGGGAGTCTAAGTCTCTTTGTAGGTCTCTAAGGACTTCCTTTATGAATCTGGGTGCTCCTGCATTGGGTACATATATATTTAGGATAGTTAGCTCTTCTTGTTGAATTGATCCCTTTATCATTATGCAATGGCCTTCTTTGTCTCTTTTGATCTTTGTTGGTTTAAAGTCTGTTTTATCAGAGACTAGGATTGCAACCCCTGCTTTTTTTTTGTTTTCCATTTCCTTGGTAGATATTCCTCCATCCCTTTATTTTGAGCCTATGTGTGTCTCTGCACGTGAGATGGGTCTCCTGAATACAGCAGACTGTTGGGTCTTGACTCTTTATCCAATTTCCCAGTCTGTGTCTTTTAATTGGAGCATTTAGCCCAGTTACATTTAAGGTTAATATTGTTATGTGTGAATTTGATCCTGTCATTATGATGTTAGCTGGTTATTTTGCTGGTTAGTTGATGCAGTTTCTTCCTAGCATTGATGGTCTTTACAATTTGGCATGTTTTTGCAGTGGCTGCTACCAGTTGTTCCTTTCCATATTTAGTGCTTCTTTCAGGAGCTCTTGTAAGGAGGCCTAGTGGTGACAAAATCTCTCAGCATTTGTTTGTCTGTAAAGGACTTTATTTCTCCTTCACTTATGAAGCTTAGTTTGGCTGGATATGAAATTCTGGGTTGAAAATTATTTTCTTTAAGAATGTTGAATATTGGCCCCCACTCTCTTCTGGCTTGTAGAGTTTCTGCTGAGAGATCTGCTGTTTGATGGGCTTCCCTTTGTGGGTAACCTGATCTGTCTCTCTGGCTGCCTTTCCTTCATTTCAACTTTGGTGAATCTGACAATTACGTGTCTCGGAGTTGCTCTTCTTGAGGAGTATCTTTGTAATGTTCTGTGTATTTCCTGAATTTGAATGTTGGCCTGCCTTGCTAGGTTAGTGAAGTTTTCCTGGATAATATCCTGAAGAATGTTTTCCAACTTGGTTCCATTCTCCCCGTCACTTTAAGGTACACCAATCAGACGTAGATTTGGTCTTTTCACATAGTCCCATATTTCTTGGAGGCTTTGTTAGTTTCTTTTTACTCTTTTTTCTCTAAACTTCTCTTCTTACTTCATTTCATTCATTTGATCTTCAATCACTGATACCCTTTCTTACACTTGATCAAACTGGCTACTGAAGCTTGTGCATGCATCACATAGTTCTCATGCCATGGTTTTCAGCTCCATCAAGTCATTTAAGGTCTTCTCTACACTGTTTATTCTAGTTAGCCATTTGTCTAATCTTTTTTCAAGGTTTTTAGCTTCTTTGCGATGGGTTCGAACATCCTCCCTTAGCTCGGAAAAGTTTGTTATTACTGATCGTCTGAAGCCTTCTCTCAACTCGTCAAAGACATTCTCCGTCCAGCTTTGTTCCATTGCTGGAAAGGAGCTGCGTTCCTTTGGAGGAGAAGAGGTGCTCAGATTTTAGAATTTTCAGCTTTTCTGCTCTAGTTTCTCCCCATCTTTGTGGTTTTATCTACCTTTGGTCTTTGATGATGGTGATGTACAGATGGGGTTTTGGTGTGGTTGTCCTTTCTGTTTGTTAGTTTTCCTTCTAACAGTCAGGACTCTCAGCTGCAGGTCTGTTGGAGTTTGCTGGAGGTCCACTCCAGACCCTGTTTGCCTGGGTATCACCAGTGGAAGCTGCAGAAAGCAAATATTGCAGAATAGCAAATGTTGCTGCCTGATCCTTCCTCTGGAAGCTTCATCTCAGAGGGTCACCCGGCTGTATGAGGTGTCAGTCAGCCCCTACTGGGATGTGTCTCCCAGTTAGGCTACTTGGGGGTCAGAGAGCCACTTGAGGAGGCAGTCTGTCCATTCTCAGATCTCAAACTCCATGTTGGGAGAACAACTACTCTCTTCAAAGCTTTCAGACAGGGACATTTAAGTCTACAGAAGTTTCTACTGCCTTTTGTTCAGCTATGCCCTGCCCACAGAGGTGGAGTCTACAGAGGAAGGCAGGCCTGCTTGAGCTGTGGTGGGCTCCACCCAGTTCGAGCTTCCCAGCCACTTTGTTTACCTACTCAAGCCTCAGCAATGGCAGATGCCCCTCCCCCAGCCTCGCTGCTGCCTTGCAGTTCGATCTCAGACTGCTGTGCTAGCAGTGAGCAAGGCTCCGTGGGCGTGGGACCCTCCGAGCCAGGCGTGGGATATAATCTCCTGGTGTGCCATTTGCTAAGACCATTGGAAAAGCGCAGTATTAGGGTGGGAGTGTCCCAGTTTTCCAGGTACCGTCTGTCACAGCTTCTCTTGGCTAGGAAAGGGAACTCCCTGACCCGTTGTGCTTCCTGGGTGAGGCAATGTCCCGCCTTGCTCTGTGGGCTGCACCCACTGTCTGACAAGCCCCAGTGAGATGAACCCGGTACCTCAGTTGGAAATGCAGAAATCACCCACCTTCTGCGTCACTTATGCTGGGAGCTGCAGACTGGAGCTGTTCCTATTCGGCCATCTTGGAACCTCCCCCAAAACATGCTTTTTTAATCTGCCTAAACATATTCCCACCCTTTCACCTAGCTAACTCTTATTCTTCTTTTAGGCCAGGGGTCCCCAACCCCCAGGCTGTGGACTGGTACAAGTCCATGGCCTGTCAGGAACCAGGCCAAACAGTGGGAGGTGCAGGAGGTGAGTGGCTGGCAAGCATTAACACCTGAGCTCCTCCTCCTTTCAGATCAGCAGTGCCATTAGACTCTCATAGGAGCACAAACCCTCTTGTGAACCGTGCATGCGAGGGATCTAGGTTGCACACTCCTTATGAGAATCTAACTGGCTCCTGATGATCTGAGGTGGAACAGTTTCATCCCAAAACTATTCCCCTCTGAACCCCACTGTCCATGGAAAAATTATCTTCCATGAAACCAGTCCCTGGTACCAAAAACATTAGGGAACCGATGTTTTAGGCTTCAGGTTAAGTGTCACCTCATTAGACAGGTTTACCTGGCCCTGAGGGTCCCCTTCCACAACACTCACCTATTTATAAAGCCTGCAGTTTTCACCACCAAGTGAAGCCTGTCCATCTTGTTCACTGCTTAGCAAAGTAATAAACAATTGCAACTGCATAAATGGATGGTCAGGTTTTGTACCCTCTCCTTTAAGTGATGAACTTCTACTCATCCTGCACATCCTCCTCACACTCCCAGCCCCAAGCTGGTTCAACTGCTCTTCTCTGTGTTCCAATAGCACATTTTACCTTCCCTATCATAGACTTCATCTTATTACATCATGATTCCATGTTTACTTATCTGCCACTCCATCTAGGATTTGAGCTCCTTGAGTTCCGTGGTCTTGTTTTATCATCTTTGTATCTCCCAAGAAGAATGCTTGGCATAGGGCAGGCTCTCAATGATGTTGACTTTATAAATCTGTTGTAAAAAGAGCCCCGGGAACCCTGAAAGTAGAGAGTAGGAAGTTGAGGGAGGGAGGCAATTTTAGATTTAGCTAACTGCCCTGAACATGGCATAGATGAATTCTTCCTGTCTAACCTATTTGGGGAAGTGGATCGAGAGTTCTGTGTCCAAGTGTATATTTGCATATTTACATTTAGCTAGAAAAATAAAAACTGCCCTTAGTACAGGAAGATGGGGAAGGCAGATAGCCTCTGCTCTAGGAGCTTAATCAGCAAGTCACCAGGGCTATTTTCAGAGCTTCCAGTGAGTTTTTGGCTATGCTAAGGGAGTTCACGAGCCACGTTTGGCAGCAGAGATTGGAGAAAGTTGTTCCACGTAAGAAATGAGAGGAATTCGGATTTTGCCCCTAAGAAGAAGACAACAATGAAGAGGGGGAAGGGGATTAGCTGAATAACATGCAAAGAGTCTGCACCCTGAGTTATGAAAATGATCAATGGATTTTTAAAAAGTCATACCAGAAATGTCTGTTGTTTAGTATTATTTAGTGTTTAGTGTTATTGCTATGATGTAAAGCTCTTCATTTCTTCAAAGCTTCCTAAGTTTTCCACATCACAGAAGCCTTGCAAGTATTTCTGCCATGTTCTCCACCTGGATGGTGGTGGTGTGGAACAGGGACAGTCACCAGGAATGGCCAGAGGACCCTGGATCGAACAATTCATCAGAAGCAGGAGCACCCTCCAGAAGTTTGTGGAAAACTTGAGATGGACATTAGACTTTGCAAACTCCAAAGGGTGATGCTGGTTCAAGGCACATTTGCCCTGACCTGAAGGGTCAATGTGACCACTTCTAGTCTTTATGAGCAGGGCTGTGTGTGTTTCAGTGGCAGTGTGTCTCTAAGAAGTGTGGGCTTTCATTGTCTGTATAATTAAACCCTGTGCTTGCAATTATCCTTGAAGGTATATGTGTTTATGTGCTGCTTTTGGAATGATATATTGATATGACTGCATGTTGAGTCCCTGTGGGAGAGGCTGCTAAATGGTCATGTGACCATACTTTTCTTCCTCACCTAGGAACACCAAGCCCCTTCGCACTCCATGAGAAGTAGAGGCCTTCCCGGGATCAAAACAGCACTCCCTCTCTGAGCCTCCCCAAGTAACATACACTACCTGCCCCATTTTCTCCTTCTCCTGCCCCTGCCTGTTTCCTTGTCTTCTTCCTCCAGCCCCAAGAATAGCTGAGGCTCTTAACTAAGAACAAGAAAACAAAAAATCGGGTCACCAGATGTGCTTCATTCCACCTCTCCCTCTCTAGCTATCCTCCCCACAAGCCAACGCATTCTGAGCATATATACAGCAAGCACCTGGCATCCCCCCAAACCCAGCTGTGCCTCTGCCTGGCAACAGACCCAACTCAGGTGGAAATTTGGGGTACCCCACAAGCATACCATATGGTTCATCCTGTCTCTAGCACTATGGTGCAGCTCTTTTGTTCTGCCTAGACAGCCTAAGCAGACCCCAGAATGATTTTTCCCATCCTGAATGAAAGGTGATATGTTGATGTCATCTGTACTGCCGGTCGCCTTCTCCCTGTGTAGACACTGCCTGTCTCAGTGTAGGAGGACAATGAGGTCTCCAGGAACAAGGTCCCCGTCCAGAGGCAGGAAGACAGAGAGACCAGCAGTCCTGCCTCAGCTCATGGGCAGGGTTCACTTGAGCTGGTCCCCACCTGGAGCCCAAAATGAGTGTCTTGTGCTTTGGAGTGAACAGACATCTGGGATTCTCATTGGGGACTGTTTACTGGTTGATTTGCATGGCACATTAACAGCCCACAGCAGCCCACTTTCTGCCAGGGACTTTCAGGAACCATTTCTCCAAGCCAGCGTGGCCCTGCGCGGGCATGAGCCCTCCCCATCCCTTCTTCCCTCCCCACATCAGCCACGTGGATGTGACTCACACAGGCTCTCTGAGCCCCTGCCAGCAGCAGCCAGAGGACTGCCTGGATAAAGTTGGGATGGGCTACTTCAGGAGCAGGGAACAGTCCAGAGTCCCTGTTAGAATTCCGTGGGCCTCCGTGCCCTCCTCCTACTACTACTCCCAGTGTCGCCTGCAGCCCAAACCTCATGCAGCAGCGTCTCCCTGATGCTTGGGCGAAAGTTCATCCTTTCCTATCTGCTTCTCTCCTTTCTCCCGTAGCACATACCACAATCAGGGACAACTATGTGAGTTCTCTTGGTTTTTCCCTGTGATATTATATAAATAACCCACACTTAAAGCAGAATATTCATATATATTATTTTGTTTTATCCTCATGATCACTCTATGAGATAATTGTTATATTTCCCATTTCAAAGAAGAAGAAATTGAAGATTGAAAGATTAAGTGAGGCAAAGCATAGAGGATGTTTAGGTAGTTAAACTACTCCGCATGATCCTATAAAGGTGGATACAATTCATTATACATTTGTCCAAACTCATAGAATGTACAACACCAAGAGTGAACCTTAATGTGAACTCTGGACTTTGGGTGATAATGATGTTAAAATGTAGGTTCATCGGGTTTAGCAAATGACTGTTCCTGTGGGGGATGTTGATAGTTGGGGAGGCTGTGTGTGTGAGGGGCAGGGGATACATGGGGAACTCTGTACTTTCTACTCAATTTTGATGTAAACATAAAACTGCTCTAAAAAAAAAAAAGTCTATTTAAAAAATGCCACTCTAGGCAATACAGAGAGACCCTGTCTCTTAAAAAAAAAAAAAAAAAAAATTAGCCGGGCATGGTCATGCACTTCCATGGTCCCAGCTACTTGGGAGGCTGAGGTGGGAGGATTGCTTGAGCCCAGGAGGTTGAGGCTGCAGTGAACTATGATCACACCACTGCACTCCAGCCTGAGCAACAGAGTGAGACCCTGTCTCAAAAAATAATAATAGTAATAATAAGAAATACATAAATAAATACTTATTTTTAAAAATTTTAAGTTTTAAGTTTTTTAAAAAGTTTTCCTTGATTCCCAGAGTTTCCCTTGTTCTAAATGTACTGCATGAGCTTCTGAATGTACTTGGAGATTTACCAGTACCTCTCCTTGCCAGTTGTAGCTCCTCACCCCAGCCTGTCATCTGTCTGCCCCACCCTCCTCAACCTCTGGACTATAAGAACTCTGAGCCTTGACTTAGTTGTCTCTGTATTCTTAGCTTGCGGCAGTGTCTGACACATAGTAGATGCTGAATAAATGTCTGCTGGGAGAATGCATGAATGAATGAATGCATGGAGGAAGAGGAAGGAGAGGAAGAGAGAGAAGAAGATAGTGGGAAGGAAGAGAGGAAGAGGAAATAAAAAACAGGAAAAGGAGATGGAAGAAGAAGGAGAGTGCAGTATAGGGTCGGAAAGAAAAAAGGCATCCCTTGATTTGATCTTATCCCCTTTGTCTTCCTGGGGACTGGAAGGCCCTTCTCAGTTCCTTTCTTTTCCCTCTCCTCCCAACAGGATAAGGACTTTGGCCACAGCCCTGCCTATCCCCCAGGTATCCCCATAAAGTCTTTAACCCTTAGATATAGAACTGCTCTGTCCCTTTTCTACAAAACAAATGTGTTATTTGGGCAGAAGAGGAAAGGAGAAAATTTGAAGTGGAAAAATCTTTGGTTTGGAAATTCAGCTGACTGCCCTCATTTGGAATAAAATGTCCTTCAGTCCCTGGCTGTGTGGCAGGCAGGCCCGGCCAACAGCAACACCGGATGCCGGGAGACTGGGAGGAGGCCTGGGGATTTTCAGAGGAGCCGCCAGAGTGGTATGAACTTGGAATCCAGGAAGAGAGTGATGGGGCTCATCTCCAAGGGCTGAATCCCTATCCTCTTCCTCATCTCTGTCCAGACAGTGGTCAGTTGTCCCGATGTGTCAGGCAGAGTGCTGTCCTGGGGGCACAGACAGGACCAGGAGAAGCAAGTCCTGAGGGAGAACAGGGGCTGGGTCTGTCTCATGTCCTGAGCACCAACCTCAGCATCTGACACATGGAAGGTACCCAAGAAACATCAGCTGGGAAAAAAAAAGTAACCCTTGTCCCGAGGGGTTGACAGGAGACCCAGACTTTGCACTCAGGTTGGTCCCAGCCTAATAGTGGAGACAGAACAGATATAAAGAATGCAGCTCAAAATCGGAATACCAAGTACAAATACAAATAATATAAACCAAGGGCTGACCTATCAGAGTAGCACAGCAGACTGGCTTGGGGCCAGTGAGGTGAATTGAGAGAACCTCCCCAAACAGACCATCCTAAGTGGGCCTCTGAAGGAGCAGATGGGAATTATTTGGCTGAAGCCAGTAGGATGAGTATCAAAGTGGGGAGTTCAGACAACATAAGAACAAGAAGAGCAGGAGGCTGAGCGGGGATGGGGCAGGTCTCCAGGGCTGGAGCAAAGCACAGCTGACCCACCCTGACTGGTGTCTGCAGATGTTGTAGAAGCAGCGCTTAAGTTTACACTGGCTTGCTGGTAACCTGGGTAGCCGGGGGGAAATATCACAGTATAGTTCACAGGTTGTGTCATAATCTCCCAGATTCATCATTTTCAGCCTTGGTTGTGCTTATGGGGCTAAGGGGTGGAGGCCTAGATTTGTAACAACCCAGAGACCAAACCCATTTCCACAAGAAAGTGCACAGAGAAGACAAAGGGAAAAACGTGGTAACAGGGAAGATGTCAGAGAGATGGGAGGCTGTGCAGAGAGGGCAGCACAGGCTGCCAGTTGGCCTCTCTTGTTTTGTTTTGTTTTGCTTTGCAGGAGAGAGGGAGGTTGGAAGCGCCACTGAGAGGAGTCAGAGGAAAGTGTAAGGAGACTTGTAAAAAAAGGTATGCAGGGTGCTGTGTGCTGCCTGATCCACTGTATGTGAGTTCTGGGTTTCAGCAAAGGCCATACAGACATTAAGGCTTCTGGAGCTGGGCTAATGCTTCCTTGGACTGTGATCCCGCTGAAATCAACTTTGGAGGAAAGGAAATGAAAAGGCTCCAATTTGTATCTTCCTGGGAGTAAATGTTTCTTATCCAATATCAATTCTCTCCTTCCTTACTTAATAAAACCACAATTTGTTACCCAGACAAAAGATGACCTTTCCTTTGCTCCCTTGCAGCTAGGAGTAGCTTCCAGTAGCAGGAGCCCCTGGAAGGTTTAGGGGAAAGTCTGGATTTCCTGATATGTACCCAACCCTTGCTTTTTGTCATTTTCTTTTGTCTCCGTCCTGCCTGGAACATGTGATCAGGAGGTGGTCATGAGGATGAAAGTCATATGTGAAGGATGATGGAACAGAGGGACTAAAGGAGCCTGCCCTGGACACCCTGATTTCCTGCTATGGGGAGTGAAAAAGAAGCCATAGTCCCATGGATTCTGTTACCAGCCACTGAGTGCAATCCTACCTGATCCCATGGTCCTCACCAAGGCTGTGTCTGCTTAGGAAATGGAGAATGGTCCCCAAACCACAGCAGCAAAAATGAGTGGAAGGGTTGAGCATTATTTCCAGCCTTGGTTGCTCTGGTGATTGGTGCCTGGGAGGGGCAGGACCTCCATCCAACAGACTGTACCAGCAGAGTCGTAAGAGGTAGGACTTTGGAGATTCAGCCGTATGTTCTATGGGTGGACTGAAGGCTGAAGGAGGAAGAGGTAGAAGTGCATTGCTACCGACCTACTCCATCCCACGTGCAGACTCCCTCGACCCCCAACCCCAGGCTGTCACCTGCTCCTATATTCATTTTCTCTGAGGTTGGAGGAAAGAGAAAGGAGACAGCAATGGCCAGACTTCCCTGGGGTTCCCAAACTGGTTAGTGTGCTCTGCTCAAGTGCTGGCTCCCCGCCCCTCTCTATGCACACACTCAGCCCATGTTCACTGATTCCCATCCTACCCTCCAGTCATTTGCCTAACTGACTTTTTTTTTTCCAGGAAACCTCAGAGATGCATTGGACTTGGTCAGCAGACTTGAGTTCTATGCCCATGCCAGTCACTGACTGGCCATGACCTGAGTTGGACAAATCATGCCCACTCTAGACTTAAGTTGTTCCTTATATGGAAAAGGAAAGGAGTGCTTTGTCAGTGGTTCCCAGATACCAATTTATAAAGATTTCACTAGTCTGTGGCAAAATAATATAACAATGGCTATGAATTACTGGGTATTTCCTTTGTGTGAAGTGGTTTTCATATATTAACTCATTTAATCTCATAACCACCTGGAAAAGTATGTATTCTTATTAACACCTTCACATGATAGATGATAAAACCAAGGCTCAGAGAGGTTAAGTAACTTACCTGAAGGTCTTCATATGGTAAGTGGTAGAGCCTGGATTTGAACTCAGGTATCCTGGTCCCAGAGTCCACGTACTAAATCACTACATTACAGCTACCCATGTGATAAGGAAAAAGTAAGGAGGAGGATGATGATGTGCATGCATATTGATACACACAGACATATAATACAGTATATTTGTGTACTGTTAGTGTAAGTTTAATACTGACTTTCTGGGGAAGGACAGGGATATATATCCTTTATGTTAAGAGTGAGAGAATAAGTCTTCCATATTTTTTACATTAAAAGGTACTTTTCTGAAATGATGACAGAAGGTGAGTATTTTATTTGCTCAACTGGCAAAATAAAACTTATCGACAACCAGTTACTTTTTACAGTATTTTACTTCCAACTTGTAATAGACCATGAAATTAAGTCTGGGAGCCCTGAGGCTACAGGGTCTTCGAAGTCCTTTCTGGCTTAAATAATGTAAGGCCTTCAACCTCCAGGTGAGGTGACTTAAGTCACACATTCTTGGAGACGTCCTCCCAGATATCAGGCACACCATCTGGGCCCCCTGGTCAGCCTAGCAGACGAAGAGCCATCACCCTGAGGGAACCTGTTTTGGTAACATGCCTGTTTAACACTGCAAGTATTTTGACCCATAAAGAAACTTTCCTGTCCCGCCATGGCCCCAGCTTTAGCTACACCCCGTCTGTACTTGTCTACCTCTTGGGATAAGTACCATATAGAGAGAGAATCTTAAATTACTCATTAGTTGGTAGAGATATTTTACTTGAAAGCAGATCCCAAACATAACCTCCTCCTGCCCAATCCTAAATCTCAGGCACCAAAGAAGACCAAGCTCTATCCTGAGTGCTACAAATGAGAAAACCAAAGGCAAAATTATGAACTATCTTGAGGATGTCTGTTCAAAGCAATTGTCCTCTACCTTATATGGATTCTGTCGGATCCTGGAGCAGATTAGAAACAGAACAGGTAGCACTGGGGGCAGTCCATTAGTGCTCTCTTTAAAACCAAGGTGGCAAACTCTTGTTTTGAAACTAACATAGAACAAGCAATTTGAGAGAAGGGAAATTGGTGTAGCCCAATGTTGTTATTTTTTTCTTATTAACAGTCTCAAAGTCCCTAGTGAAGGAGGGGAACATCCAAACAGTTAGCAGCCAGGGACATTCTTAGGAAGGACAGCGGAAGCCACAGCACTGCTTCTGCTGTGGGGTCTACATGCCTAAAACTGAGCAAAGAATTCGACTTGGTGGGCTGGACTCTGCCTCAAAAGTGAATGAAAACAAAACAAGACTTCAAGTTAGCATTTGTGGAAAGGGGAAAAAAACCATTGTCTGCCTTTCTGTCTCACGAACACAGAAACAAAACACTAATGAAGGCTCCCAATCTGGCAGAAATCTAAGGAATTAGAGGAAAAGGAACAAAAATAAACAAAAGGACACCAGACTTCAAGTTTCTCAAGCCAGATGTGACCCTGGAAACTGGTGTGATGAGGAAGAAAAACAGCTGTTGACTCAGTCATGTGATGATTCAATGATACAATTATTTCATCATCAAAAGAGGCTTTGATAACTTCGCCATTAGCAGTAAGAGTAAAAATAGAAAAAGAGGAAGGAGGAGCTCGATTTCAGCACTAATCTGATTCATTCGCTTTAAAAGACCTAGGCTTGAGGCCTGAACTGGTTATGGAATCTAGCTATTAAAAATGGTTCTATCTGGTGACAGAATTTTAAGAAATGCTGAAGTTGGCAAAGTGGATTGCTCTATTTAGCAAAATATTTTCAGCTATGGTGGTCCATTAAAACACCAAGAAAAAGAACAAAAGAACAAAAGAAACAAAAATCTACTGGATAGAGTTTGTATGAAATCCACAATCCTGCAGTTTGCAGGAGCGGGAATACACTTGCAAATCAATGTTGGAAATTTGCATTTTTCTGAGCTTTTAGTGGAATGGAGTGTTGGGGAGGGACTTTCTGCTTTTTATGGGTGGATCCAGTGAAATGATTGCTGGTCCTGATTAGAGGCCCATGGTTTCAATAATCTAGCATTCTCCCAACTGTGTCTTTAGCCTCTCCTTCTTTCTCTTCGGCCTACAAACAGGCTACAGAAAGTGCTGCCTGGGCTACACGCTTAGATGATCCCATCCTAAATACAACTTTCCATTGACTGGGGTCCCTTTCTAGCTATGGCTCTAGCAATCAGCTCTTCTTCCCAGACAAGTTGTTTGGGAGAGAAGTCCACACGCTAACCTGTTAGAACCGCCACATAAAATACATGATGCCCACTTGAACTTTAATTTCAGATAAATGACAAATAATTATTTCAGTTTATGTATGTCCCATGCAATATTTGGGACATACTTATTATACTAAAAATTTATTCATTGTTTATCTGAAATTCAAATGTCAGATAAATTGAAATTTAAGTGAACATCCTGTATTTTTATTTGCTAAATCTGACAATCTGACTCCTAGTATCCCTTCTTCACTTTCTATTTGTTGCTCAGCCCATGGAAACCTGGTTTTTGCCTCCACCTTTCATTGATACTGCTCTCCCCAGGCTCCCCAAGGACCTCTTACTGATCAAATTCACGAGGCACGTTTCCACCCTCCATGGCAGGGGCCTCTCTGGAGGACTCTGCAGGCACCGCTGGCGTCTCCGCTGTCCTGGTGAAGCTGTCTTCCCTTTTGGCTTCCATGATGCATTACACTGCTTGTTTTCTCCACCTTTCTCTGACTGCTCCTTCCCTGTTTCCTTCACGAGCTGCGCTTGTTAAGTCACCTCTTACATGTTCAATGCTACCCAGGGCACTGCCCTTTGGCCTTCCGCACTCTCTATACACAGAGCTGGATTTGCTGCTATATTTATCTCCCCACTCAGCCCCACTGGCCTCAG
Organism: Homo sapiens; assembly: GCF_000001405.40. Taxonomy (NCBI): domain Eukaryota; kingdom Metazoa; phylum Chordata; class Mammalia; order Primates; family Hominidae; genus Homo; species Homo sapiens. Next base: position 203,401,440 of record NC_000001.11, on the reverse strand, counting down.
CTGCCCTGAGCAGCTCTGGCCTCCTCATCCATCATGCTGGGCACCAGAGGATGTCTTGCAGAGAAACCTTTCTGCCCTGGGCCTCCAAGGAGGGCTCAGCTATCAGAGAAGAGGGTCATTTTTAAAAGGGTCAGAGCACAGGACCCTCCAAGATTGATGGGCTATGAATTATGGATGTCGCAACTGTCAGTCCCAGTGCTCCAGAGCCAGAGAGGGTGTCCCTGCCTTCCGTCCCTGAGTTGGCCTCTTCTCTCCAGCATCCCCGTAGCATGTGCTCACTAAATGTGTTCCTGTATTGCTTTTTTACGTTTGTTGTCTTTTTGATGATCTTTATTTCTATGCACACACATACACGCTCAAGCACATCCCATCTGGCTGGGAGCTCTCTGAACCCTCCTCCATCACACTGTGCCCTGCTAGAGGGCAAGGACTGAAATGCCCCAGGGGAAGTGTTTGATACACAGGTGTGACTATAACAAAACAAAACACAACAAACACACACACACAACGATTTTTACCCTTTTTTTTTTTTTGAGACCAAGTCTTGCTCTCTCACCCAGGCTGGAGTGCAGTGGTGTGATCTCAGCTCACCGCAACCTCTGCCTCCCAGGTTCAAGTGATTCTCCTGCCTCAGCCTCCTGAGTAGCTGGGACTACAGGTGTGCGCCACCTCGCCCAGCTAACTTTTGTATTTTAGTAGAGATGGGGTTTCACCATGTTTCCCAGGCTGGTCTCAAACTTCTGACCTCAAGTGATCACCCACCTCGGCCTCCCAAAGTGCTGGGATTACAGGTGTGAGCCACCATGCCTGGTTGATTTTTACCCATTTTTAAAGTTGTAAGTGCTTTTGTATGCAATACTTTGGAGCAATCTCAGGAGTTGTTTATGTTGATTTGCTAGAAAGAGATACAGAATGCCAGGCTAGATTCAAAACTCCTGAGGATCTCAAGCAATAATAAGTGCACTTACAGAAATTAAAAAGAAATACCGCTGGAAACTCAAGGGCTTTTCTGGTGATCACAAAGATACTGGCAGATTTTTGTTGATAGGTAGGCCAAACTTAATCAGCTAGGGAAAAGAAAGAGGTACTAAAAGTTAATCACCAAAGCCAAAAAGATTAAACTTGTAAAGACTCAACAAGCAAGTAAACACATTAAATTTTCTGAATATGACTGAAAACAAATTATAGTTAACCTCTTAATACTTCACTGGGTATTTGAGCTGTTCTTAGGGATCCACTTTTATTTTGGTAGTACTGTATAATAAATGTTTCCCTAAAACCTACAGTTAATTTAAAAAATATCTTTGTTCCTCAACTTGTAATGACATAAGTACGTTGCATACCACAATTTTTCATTGAACATTTTATTTGTTGAAATTATCTTATATAAGTCAACTTCAGGTGATTTAGAAAATAAATGTGTTTCGAACATTTTTTAAAAATCAATAGCTTTTTTGTTTGTTTGTTTGTTTTTTGAGACAGAGTCTTACTCTGTCGTCCAGGCTGGAGTGCAGTGGTGCAATCTCAGCTCACTGGAACCTCCGCTTCTCGGGTTCATGCAATTCTCTTGTCTCAGCCTCCCAAATAGCTGAGATTACAGGCATGCACCACCACGCCTGGCTAATTTTTGTATTTTTTGGTAGAGATGGTGTTTCAGCATGTTGGCCAGGCCGGTCTTGAACTCCTGACCTCAGGTGATCCACCCACCTCGGCATCCCAAAGTGCTGGGATTACAGGCATGAGCCACCACGCCTGGCCCCAATTAGTAGCATTTTTATACACAAATAATGACCTAGCTGAAAAAGAAATAACAAACACAATCTTATTTGTGATATCATCAAAAATAAAATAAAATAAAATAAAATAAAATAAAATACTTGGGAGAAATAATCAAGGAGATGAAAGATCTGTACATTGAAAAGTATAAAGCATCAATAAAAAAACTAAAAAAGATATAAACAAATGGAAAGATATTCTGTGCTCATGGATCAGAAGAATTAATATTGTTAAAATGTCCCTATTATCCAAAGCAATATACAGACTTGACACAATTCTTATCAAAATCCCAATGACATTCTTCATGGAAATAGAAAAAAAAAATTCCTACAATTCATACAGAACCACAAAAGACCCCAAATAGCCAAAACAATTCTAAGAAAGAAATACAAATAGAAATCTTCCATTTATTATTCAGGGCTGGATTTGTATCTGGTCCTATAGGCACATTTAGGAAAAGAAACTTCTTCCGGTAACTCCTTAATGTGTGCTTCCAAACTACTTTTTGTGTTAAATTCTTACAGTTTCTGAAAGAAAACTGTTAATGATTAGCCATCCTGAAGGCATTCTGAAGCGTTACATTTCTTGATTTAACAATTACTTTAAAATATAGTAAAAGTTAAAAATTTAAAAATATAGTGAAAAATTACTATATATTTCAAAACCATAGTAAACAAAACAGTATGGTACTGACAGAAAAAAAGACATATAGGCCAACGGAACAGAAGAGACAGCCTAGAAATAATTTCAAACATATATGGTCAACTCATTTTTGTCAAGGGCTCCAAGAGGACAAAATGGGGCAAGGATGGTCTTCTCAATAAATGATGCCAGGAAAACTGGATTTCCACATGCAAAAGAATGACACTAGACCCTTATCTGACACCATACACAAAAATCAACTCAAAATAGATTTTTTTAAAAAAACCTAAATGCAAGATCTGAAACTATAAAACTCCTAGAAGAAAACATGGAGGAAAAGTTCCTGGACAGTTGCCTTGGCAATGATTTTTTTCATTTTCTTTTTCCTTTTTGGTAGAGACAGCATCTCCTTATGTTGCCCAGGCTGGTCTCGAACCTCTGGACTCAAGTGATCCTCCCACCTCACATCCCAAAGTGCTGGGATTATAAGTGTGAGCCACCACATCCAACTGGCAATGATTTTTTGGAGATCGCAGCAAAAGCTCAGGCTACAAAAGCAAAAATAAATAAATGGGGCTACATCAAATTAAAAAGATTCTGCACAACAAAGGAAACAATCAACAAAACAAAATAGCAACTTATGGACTGGGAAAAAATTTTTGCAAACCATATATCCGATAAGGGGTTAATATCCAACATTTATAAAGTACACATACAAATCAATTATAGAAAAACAAATAAACTAATTTTAAAATGGGCAAAGGACCTGAATAGACATTTCTCCGAAGAAGACATAAAAATGGCCAACAGATATATGAAAAGGTCCTTGACATCATTAATCATCAGGAAAATGTGAATCAAAACCACTATGAGATATTATTTTAGACCCTATAGGATGGCTATTATCAAAAAGTCATAGGGGTGTGGGGAAAAGGGAACACTTGTACACTGTTGGTGGGAATGTAGATTTGGTGCAGCCATCATGGAAAACAGTATGGAGGTTTCTAAAGAAATTAAAAACAGAACTACCAGAAGACCCAGCAATCTCTGTTCTGTGACTATATCCCCCCAAAATGAAATAACCACCTTTTTAAAATACCTGCACTTCTATTTTCACGCAGCATTCTTCACAATAGTCAAGATATGGAACCACCCAAGTGTCGATGGAGGAATGGATTTAAAAAACTGTGGCATCTGTATACAATGGAATATTATTCAGCCTTTAAAAAGAAGGTCCTGTCGTTTGGCACAACATGGATTAACCTGGAAGACACTATGCTGAGTGAAATGCGTCAGACAGGAAAAAAAAATAGTGCATGATGTCACTTACATGTGGAATCTAAAAACAAAATCAAATGTGCAGACGCAGATAATAAAACAGCAGTTACTGGGGTGGAAGCAGGCTGGGGAGGAATGGGAGGAAGAAATGGGAAGACGTAGGTCAGAGGATACAATGTAACAGGTGTGTGGAGAGATCTAATGTACACCATGATGGTTGTAGGTCATAAAATCGCACTGTACTTGGGATTCCTACTAAATGACTAGATTGTAGCTGCTCTTGCCACAAAAGCAACAAAAATGGGTAACTGTGCGGAGACGACAGAGATGTTCATTTGCTTTGCTATAGTAAATATTTTACTAACTATGTGTATCCTATAACAGCATGTTGTATACCTTAAATATACACAATAAATTTTAAAATAAATAAATAGGATTGAGCTGGGAAGGAGGAGAAGTTTTTCTGAGAGAAGAACCAGGAGGCTGTAAGGGAGAAGATGTCCTCAACCCAACCCACGGCGCTCTGATGCCCTTTATCCAGCAAACTGCAGGAACTTACTCTTGAGGAGGTTAGTCCTCCTAATTGTCCGATTCAATAGATATTTTTCAGTGCTTACCAGTTTGGACCCCTCTGATGCATTGGACCCTGTTGGTCCCTCTTCTCTGCTGCTGTTGTTGTTGCTTAAAAATAGTTTCATTATATAGCTGATGGCAGTAGTTCTCGGTGATGCTGTCATGGTACATTTTAGCAGAGGTGGGCGGTGAGGTAAAAATAGACAATCAGTAAGTAACATGGCTGGCAAGTGGTTATAAATGTTTAAAGGCAAATAAAGCAAGGAAAGGTGATAGAATGTTTTTGGTAATGTGACATTTGAACACAGACCCAAATGAAGTTAGGGAGAAACCCATGGGGACCGCCTAGGGAAGAGTGCCCCAGAGAAAGGGGACAGCATGTGCAAATGAACGAGGAAGTGTGCAAGAAGTTCAGGGTGGCAAAATCAGAGACCTGGGAGGGGTGGAGATTAGAAGATGAAGTCAGAGAATTAGTAGAAGTAACTAATCATGAGTGACCTTTCCAGCCACATCTGGCATCCAATCAAACCTTAACAGGCATACAAAGAGGCAGGAAAATACGACCCAGGGCCGGGCACAGTGGCTTACACCTGTAGTCCCAACACTTTGAGGGGCCAAAGCGGGCGAACTGCTTGAGCTCAGGAATTCGAGACAAGCCTGGGCAACATGGCAAAACCCCGTCTCTACAAAAAAATACAAAAATTAGCCGGGCGTGGCGGTGCGCACCTGTAGTCCCAGCTACTCGGAACGCTGAGGTAGGAGAATCGCTTGAACCCGGGAGACGGAGGTTTCAGTGAGCCGAGATCGTGCCACTGCACTCCAACCTGGGCGACAGAGCGAGACTCTTTCTGAAAACAAAACAAAACAAAACAAAAAGAAAATATGACCCAGAATAAGAAGAAAAATAAATTGACTGAAACAGAAATGATACAGATGCTAGAATTATGCGGAGCAGAATATTAAAAAGTGATAATATACTCCATGTGTTCACAAAGGTAGAAGAATGTATGAGCATGTTAAGGAGAGATATGGAGAACATAAAAAAAGACTGAATTAAATTCTACAGATGAAAAAATACTGGCCGAGATGAACAGCATCTTAGACACTCCAGAAGAAAAGCTTAGTAAACTTCAAGATACACTAGTAGAAACAATTCAAAATGCAGCGCCGAGAAGAAGTCTGGAAAAAAGAAACCAACAAAGCGTCAGTAAGCTGAGGAACAACATCAGATTGCCTAATATACGTGCCATCAGAGTCCAGAAGAGGGAGCAGAAAAAATATTTAAAGAAAGAATGATTAAAACTTTTCTGAATGTGACAAAACGATAAACCTGCAGATCTAAGAAGCTCAATGAACCCCCAAGCAGGAAAAAAAAACATGAAGAAAACTATATCAAGACACATCATAATTGAATTTTAAGAACTAGTGTTAAAGAGAATGTCCAAAAGCAATGAGAGAAAATCAACAGCAGAATTTTAAGAAGCGTTAAAGGAAGGTTTTTTTGCACAAAAGGAAAATGATGCCAAATGGACATTTGGATTTATACCAAAAAATAAAAGAAATTTCTGGAAATGGTAAATATGTAGATAAATATAAAAAAAGTTAAATTGAAATATCTAAAAGGGATAATTTATTGTTTAAAGCAAAAATAATAGTAATACATTGTGAGGTTTACAACATATATAGAAACAAAATGTAGGGCAACAATAGCATAAAATCTGGGAGAGCAGAAATAGAAATATACTGTTGTAAGGGGCTTATATTTTACACGAAGTGGTAAAATATTACTTGAAAGTAGACTATATAAATTAAAGGTGTGTAGTATAAACTCTAAAGCAACAAATGAAAAAAATGAAACAAGGAGGTATTGCTAATATGCTAATAAAGAAGATAAAGTAGAATCATAGAAATGATTAACCAATAAGAAGACACAAAAAAGGAAAAAGGGAATTAAGAAAAGATGGAACAAACAGGAAACAATTAACAGGATAATAGATTTAAGCCCAACTGTATTAATAATCACATAAAATGTAGTTAGTATTAACACTCTAATCAAAAGGCACAGATTGTCAGATTGGACTTTTTTTTTTTTGAGATGGAGTCTCCCTCTGTCTCCCAGGCTGGAGTGCAGTGGTGAGAGCTCAGCCCACTGCAACCTCCGCCTCCCAGGTTCCAGTGATCCTCCTGTCTCAGCCTCCCGAGTAGCTGGGATTACAGGTGTGTGCCACCATATCCGGCTAATTTTTTGTATTTTTAGTAGAGATGGGGTTTCACCATGTTTGTCAGGCTGGTCTTCAACTCCTGACCTCAAGTGATCTGCCCGCCCTGGACTCCCAAAGTGTTAGGATTACAGGCATGAGCCACCACACCTGGCCGACAGGACTTTTTTTTAAAAAAGCAAGACCCAATTATTTTCTGTCTCTAAGATACCCAAGTTACATATAAAGGCAAAGACAAAACTAGGTACAGTGGCTCGAGCCTGCAGTCTCTGCTACTCAGGAGGCTGAGGCAGGAGGATCCCTTAAGCCCAGGAGTTCAAGGCCAGTCTGAGCAACATAGTGAGATCTTCAACTCCTAAATAAATAAAATAAAAGCAAAGGCAGATTAAAAATAAAAGGATAGAAATGATATACCATGCTAATACTAATCAAAGGAAAGTTGTAATGACTATGCTAATATCAGACAAAGTAGATTTCAGAACAAGAGATATCACTAGGAATAATTAGCATCATTTCATGACGATAAAGGTGTCAATTCTTCAACATAATGTAATAATCCAAAAATATTTATGCACCTAATACCATAGCTTCAAAATACATGAAGGAAAATCTGATAGAAATATAAGAAAAAATAGACAAATCCACAGTTACCGTTGGAGATTTCATCATTTCTATTTCAATAATTGATAAAACTAATAGACAGAAAATAGCAAGGATATTGTACACTTGAGGAACCCTACTAACCTATTGGACCTGACTGACATTTTGAGAACACTCTTCCATATAGCAACAGGATGCATATTTTTTTCTAGTGCTCATGGAACATTTACCAAGATAGACCATCTGGGCCATAAAGTGAGTCACCATAAATTTTAAATGATTCAAATTACACAAAATATATTCTCTGGTCACAAGAGAATTTAATTAGATAATCATAGAAAGATACCTGAAAACTTCCCAAGTATTTGGAAACTAAGCAACACACTTTTTTTTTTAAATTATATTTTAAGTTTTAGGGTACATGTGCACAATGTGCAGGTTAGTTACATATGTATACATGTGACATGCTGGTGCGCTGCACCCACTAACTCATCATCTAGCATTAGGTATATCTCCCGATGCTATCCCTCCCCCCTCCCCCCACCCCACAACAGTCCCCAGAGTATGATGTTCCCCCTCTTGTGTCCGTGTGTTCCCATTGTTCAATTCCCACTTATGAGTGAGAATATGCGATGTTTGGTTTTTTGTTCTTGCGATAGTTTACTGAGAATGATGATTTCCAATTTCATCCATGTCCCTACAAAGGACATGAACTCATCATTTTTTATGGCTGCATAGCATTCCATGATGTATATGTGCCACATTTTCTTAATCCAGTCTGTCATTGTTGGACATTTGGGTTGGTTCCAAGTCTTTGCTATTGTGAATAGTGCCGCAATAAACATATGTGTGCATGTGTCTTTATAGCAGCATGATTTATAGTCCTTTGGATATATACCCAGTAATGGGATGGCTGGGTCAAATGGTATTTCTAGTTCTAGATCCCTGAGGAATCGCCACACTGACTTCCACAATGGTTGAACTAGTTTACAGTCCCACCAACAGTGTAAAAGTGTTCCTATTTCTCCACATCCTCTCCAGCACCTGTTGTTTCCTGACTTTTTAATGATTGCCATTCTAACTGGTATGAGATGATATCTCATTGTGGTTTTGATTTGCATTTCTCTGATGGCCAGTGATGGTGAGCATTTTTTCATGTGTTTTTTGGCTGCATAAATGTCTTCTTTTGAGAAGTGTCTGTTCATGTCCTTTGCCCACTTTTTGATGGGGTTGTTTATTTTTTTCTTGTAAATTGCTTTGAGTTCATTGTAGATTCTGGATATTAGCCCTTTGTCAGATGAGTAGGTTGCAAAAATTTTCTCCCATTTTGTGGGTTGCCTGTTCACTCTGATGATGGTTTCTTTTGCTTTGCAGAAGCTCTTTAGTTTAATTAGATCCCATTTGTCAATTTTGGCTTTTGTTGCCATTGCTTTTGGTGTTTTAGACGTGAAGTCCTTGCCCATGCCTATGTCCTGAATGGTAATGCCTAGGTTTTCTTCTAGGGTTTTTATGGTTTTAGGTCTAACATTTAAGTCTTTAATCCATCTTGAATTGATTTTTGTATAAGGTGTAAGGAAGGGATCCAGTTTCAGCTTTCTACATACGGGTAGCCAGTTTTCCCAGCACCATTTATTAAATAGGGAATCCTTTCCCCATTGCTTGTTTTTCTCAGGTTTGTCAAAGATCAGATAGTTGTAGATATGTGGCGTTATTTCTGAGGGCTCTGTTCTGTTCCATTGATCTATATCTCTGTTTTGGTACCAGTACCATGCTGTTTTGATTACTGTAGCCTTGTAGTATAGTTTGAAGCAACACACTTTCAAAAAAGCCATATGTCAAAGAAAAACTCACAGGGGAAATTAGAAAATACTTTAATCTAAACTAAACATGACATATACAATTACATGGGCTGTAGCTAGAGTAGCGTTTAGAGGAAAATTTGTAGCATTAAACATTAATATTAGAGAGGTAATATCAGATTTATTTTCAGTGACCTCAGCTTCTACCTTGGAGAATTAGGAAAAAGCACAAATTAAAGCCAAAGAAAGGAAATAAAGATAAGAGCACAAAATAATTAAACTTTTAAAAATAGAAAAAAACTAATGGACCCAAAAGCTAATTCCTGGAGAAAATGAATAAAATAGTTGAATCTCTAGCCAGATTAATTAGGGAAAAAAATAGAGAAGACACAAATGATCAACATCAAGAGTGAGGAAGAAGAAGGCAGCATCATAGAACCTACAGACCTTAAAATGGCAATAAGGGAATATTATGACAACTTTATGGTGATAAATTCAACAATTTGGTCTTAACCAATGCTATAAGACTAGAAAAACGAAAAGAGGCATACAAATTGGAAAGAAGGTAGTGGTAGTAAAACTCTCTGTATTTTCAGATTATGTAGAAAATCCTAGGGAATCTACAAAAAAGACTACTAGAACTTTTGTGTGAGTTTAACAAGATTACTTGATAGAAGGTAAAATCAAGTGTATTTGTATATACTAGCAATAAACAACTGGACATTGAAATGTTTTAAGTACCATTTTAACAGCATCAAAAATAGAAAATAGATTAAATTTGAAAAAAGATGTGCAAGACTTTTACACTGAAAAGTATAAAACATTGCTGAGAGAGCTCAAAGAAGGCCTAAACAAATGGAGAAATATTTCATGTTCCTGGATCCAAAGAGTCAATATTGTTAAGATATCATTTCTTCCCATATTGACCTACAATATTACACAATCCCAATCAAAATCCCAGTGGTCTTTTTGTAGATATTTGTATGTAAAGGGAAAAGACCTAGACTAGTCAAAATAGGAAAAATAAGAACAAGGAAGACTTATACTACCTAATTTCAAGATTAATTATAAAGCTACAATAAGCAAGACTGGGTAGTATTTGCATAAAGACAGGCATATAAATCAATGGAACAGAACCCAGAAATAGAGCCATATATACAGTCAATTGATTTTCAAAAAAGGCGCCTAATGACTGAATGAGGAAAAGGAATCTTTTCAACAAATGGTGCTGGAACCATTGGATAACTAAATGCAAAAAAAAAATTACTTCATATCATATACAGAATTAACTCAAAGTGGGTCATAGACCTAAATATAATAGCTAATATATAAACTTGTAGAAGAAAACAAAGGAGAAAATCTTAGTGACCTTAGCTTAAGCAAGCAGAAGCAGCACAAACTATAAAGAGGAAAACTTGGGTCGGGCATGGTGGCTCACACCTGTAATCTCAGCATTTTGGGAAACCAAAGTGGGAGAATTGCTTGAGACTAGGAGTTCAATCCTATCCTGGGCAACATGTTGAGACCCCATGCCTATACACACACACACACACACACACACACACACACACACACACACACACACACACAATTAGCCAGGTGTGATGGTCACACCTATAGTCCTGGTACTTAGGAGGCTGAGGTGGGAGAATCTCTTGAGCCCAGGAGTTTGAGGTCACAGTGAGCTATGATCACACCATTGCACTCCAGCCTGGGTGACAGAGTGAGACCTTGTCTCTAAAAAATAAACGAATAAACATAAAAAAATTAATTTAAAGATCAATATATTGGACATCATTGAAATTGTATTAGTCGCCTATTGATGTTGTCACAAATTATATAAACGTAATGGCTTTTAAAAACCTCATAAATTTATTATCTTACAAGTCTGTAGGTCAGAAGTCTGACATATATCTCCCTGGACTAAAAGTCAAGGTGTTAGCAAGGCCAAATTCCTTTCTGGAGGCTGTAGGGGAGAATCTATGTCCTTGCCTTTTCCAGTTTCTATAGGCTTCGTACATTCCTTGGCTGTGACCCTCTTCCTTCCTCTTCAAAGCCAACAATGGCTAGTTGAGCCCTTCTCATATTGCATCATTCTGACCTCCTCTTCCTCCTTCTTCTTTTGTTTTTCAGGACATTTGTGACTACTTTCGGCCCACCCAGATCATCCAGGATAATCTTTCTATTTTAAGGTCAGCAGATTAACAATCTTAATTCCATCTGCAACCTTAATTCCTCTTTGCCATGAAAGGTAATATATTCACAAGTCCCAGAGATTAGGTTGTAGAAATCTTTGAGGGTGGAGCATTATTCTGTTAAGAGGAAAATTTAAAATTTCTGCTCTTGGAATGATATTGTTACAAAAATAAAAAGCAAGCCGTAGACTGGGAGAAAAGATTTGCAAAACATATATTAAACAAAAGACTTGTATCTAGAAAGTATAAAGAAGCCTTAAAACTCAATAAGAAGACAAACAACTCAATTAAAAGATGGGAAAAGATTTGAAGAGACAGTTCACCAAAGAAGATGTATGGATGGCAAATAAGCACATGAGAAGATGCTCAGTATCATCAGCCAATAGGCGAATGCATTTAAAATCACAAAGAGATACTACCACACACCCTAGAACCAGAAATACCATTTGACCCAGCCATCCCATTACTGGCTATATACCCAAAAGATTATAAATCATTCTACTGTAAAGACACATGCACACGTATGTTTATTGCAGCACTATTTACAACAGCAAAGACTTGGAACCAACCCAAATGCCCATCAATGATAGACTGGATAAAGAAAACATGGCACATATACACCATGGAATACTATGCAGCCGTAAAAAGGATGAGTTCATGTCCTTTGCAGGGACATGGATGAAGCTGGAAGCCATCATTCTCAGCAAACTAACACAGGAACAGAAAACCAAGCACCGCATGTTCTCATTCATAAGTGGGAGTTGAACAATGAGAACACATGGATACAGGGAGGGGAAAAACACACACTGGGGCCTGTCGGGGGGTGGGGGCCAAGGGGAGGGAGAGCATTAGGACAAATACCTAATGCATGTCAGCTTAAAACCTAGATGATGGGTTGATGGGTGCAGCAAACCACCATGGCACATGTATACCTATGTAACAAACCTGCACATTCTGCACATGTATCTGGAACATAAAGTAAAATTAATTTTTTTAAAAAGTAAATACTGTTTGAGTCCATTTATGTAAAATTCCAGATGATTAAATTATAGTAGCAGAAAACAGACAAGTAGTTGCCTGGAGATGGAGTTGGGGAGGAAAAGGTGTGGTGGATTACAAAGAGGCATAATAAAACTTTTGGGAATAATGGATATTGTACTAGTTTTTTATTGCTGCATAACAGATTACTACAAATTTGTTTAAAACAACACACAATTGTCATCTCACAATTACTAGGGGTCAGCAATCTAGGCATGGCTTAGCTGGGTGCTCTGCTCTAGGGTTCCTCACAAGGCTGCAGACTCATCTCAGCGCTTTCCTGGGGAAGGATCTGCTTCTAAGGTCACATGATGATTGGCAGGGTGCAGTTCCTTATGGGTTATTGGACTGAGAGCCTCAGTTTCTCACTGGCTATTGGCCAGGGGCCACGCTCACTTCTTTGCCATGTGGGCATCCCCATAGGGCAGCTCACAGCATGCAGCTTGCTTCATCAAAGGCAGCAAGGGAGAGAGTCTACTGGCAAGATGGAAATTGCACTCTTACATAAAACAATCACAGCAGCGATTTATTCTTTTGGTTAGAAAAAAGCTGTGGGTCCTGCCCACACAATGGGGTTCACAGGGCATGGATACCAGGTGGAGGGGGGACAACTGGGGGCCCTTTTATAGTCTGTCTGCCAGAGGTATGGTCATTTACATGATTGTGCTTATGATTTTATAGATATATATTAATGTCAAAACTTATCAAATTGTGCATGTTAAAATGTGCAGTTTTTGTCCATCAATTATACTTCAACACAGTTGTAAGAAGCTAAGAAACAGGACGGGCGTGTTGGCTCACACCTGTAATCCCAGCACTTTGGGAGGCCCGAGGTGGTTGGATCACTTGAGATCACGAGTTCCAGACCAGCCTGGTGAACATATAGTGAAACCCCATCTCTACTAAAAAATACAAAAATTAGCTGGGCATGGTGGTGGATGCCTGTAGCCCCAGCTACTTGGGAAACTGAGGCAGGAGAATCGCTTGAACCAGGGAGGTAGAGGTTGCAGTGAGCTGAGATTGCACCATTGCACTCCAGCCTGGATGACAGCGAGACTCCTAAGAAACAAAAAGCTTGACAAGCTGATTATAGAATAATACGGAAATGCAAACAGCCAAAGCCAGCTATGACAGAGGAAGGGAGTTTTGCCCTATCAAATATGAAGACTTGTTATAAAACCATTGTAGTTAAGAGTGTGGTATTCATACAGGGATAGACAATCAAGCAGAACAGATTAGAGAACCCAGAAACAGAGCCACATATACGTGGAAACCTGATAAACAACAGAGATGGCATTCTTAAACCAACGGGGAAAGGATGGACTTCTAAATAAATGAGGCAGCGACAATTGGGTATCCATATGGAAAAAAATAAAATTAGATATCTACCTCATAACATTCACAAAAATAAATTTCAGGTGAAGTAGACACCTAAATGTTTCAAAAGCAAAACTTTAAAACTTTTAGAAGAAAATATAGATTTATCTTTATGCCTTTTGTGTAGGGAATAAATTTTTAAAAAATATTGAAAATGTAAGCTACAAAAGAGCAATCAATTTGATTGACTTAAAATTATAATCTTCTGTACAACAAATTACCATCTACTAAATGAAAAGACAAGCCACATAAGAGGGAAAATTATTTACAACTGAATAAAAGATTTGTACTCATATTATATAAAAAACTATTCAGAATCGGCCAGGTGTGGTGGCTCACGCCTGTAATCCCAGCACTTTGGGAGGCTGAGGCAGGCGGATCACGAAGTCAGGAGATTGAGATCATCCTGGCTAACACGGTGAAACCCCATCTCTACTAAAAATACAAAAAAATTAGCTGGGCATGGTGGCACCTGCCTGTAGTCCCAGCTATTCGGGAGGCTGAGGCAGGAGAATGGCATGAACCCGGGAGGTGGAGGATGCAGTAAGCCAAGATCATGCCACTGCACTCCAGCCTGGGAAACAGAGCGAGACTCCATCTCAGAAAAAAAAAAAAAAAAAAAAGACCTATTCAGAATCAGTAAGAAAAGCATAGACCCAGTAGACAAACTGACAAATTATATAAACAAGTAATTCACAAAAGAGAAAACCCCAAATCCTGTATATTTGCAAAAAGATTCTTAACTTTACTATTAATCAGGGGCATGTAACTCAGAAAATTAATGAGTATACCCATCATACTGAAAAATTTTTTAAAGTCTGACAGTACTGGACACTGGGAAGAAAGTGAAAAAATATGAACTCATTCACTCCTGGTTGGAATGTAAACTGGTAAAATCATTTTGGAAGAGAAATTTGGCTCTATCTAATAAAGTTGAAGATGCACATAACTTATTCTTCTGTTAGATACATATTTTAAAGAAAATCATACAGTTGCATAAAGAGACAAAAAAAGTTTATTTCAAATTCTTTTAATAGTGAAAAATTGTAAAACTAAAAGTTCACTAATAAGAATATAATTACATTGAGGTATATTCATACAATATTATACTGTACAGCAATATAAAAGAATAAACTAAAGCTATACATTGAAATATGGACAAAGCTCAAAAAGAATCCAAGTCCTGGTTCCATCACTCATGAACTGTGTGACCTTGGACAAGTCACTAAACTTCTCTCTGCCTCAATTTCCACACCTATGAATAGAGATTATAATTATACAACTTCCTACAGAGGCTGTGAAGATTACACAAGCTCAGTTTAAAGTGTCTACAATGCCTAGTACCTAGTAAGCACCAAGAGCATTAGCAATTATTATTCCTTAAAAAAAAATCTGAGTATTTCAAAATATAATTTTTTTTTTTGAGACGGAGTCTCACTCTGTCACCCAGGCTAGAGGGCATTGACGCGATCTTGGCTCACTGCAACCTCCGCCTGCTGGGTTCAAGCAATTCTCCTGCCTCAGCCTCCGGAGTAGCTGGGACTACAGGCAGGCGCCACCATGCCCGGCTAATTTTTTGTATTTTCAGTAGAGACGGGGTTTCACCATGCTGGCCAGGCTGGTCTCGAACTCCTGACCTTGTGATCTGCCCGCCTCGGCCTCCCAGAGTGCTGGGATTACAGGCATGAGCCACCACGCCCAGCTAAATTATAAAGATTTTTAAAAGTAGCCTTTCCCTGGCCGGGCGCGGTGGCTCACGCCTGTAATTCCAGCACTTTGGGGGGCCGAGGCGGGTGGATCACAAGGTCAGGAGAGCGAGACCATCCTCGCTAACACGGTGAAACCCCGTCTCTACTAAAAATACAAAAAAAAAAAAATTATCTGGGTTTGGTGATGGGTACCTGTAGTCCCAGCTACTCGGGAGGCTGAGGCATGAGAATCTCTTGAACTCAGGAGGCGGAGGTTGCAGTGAGCCGAGATCACACCACTGCACTCCAGCCTGGGTGACAGAGCTAGACTCTGCCTCAAAAAAAAAAAAAAAAAAAAAAAAAGTAACCTTCCCCTTCCCGAAGCCATTAGGTAAGGCAGAGGAAAGTTGGCATCCACAGAGAGGGATGGCTTGTGATGGGGAGTCAGAGCCTGAGCAGGGCAGGGCCATTCACACAGGGGAGAGTAGATTGTCATGGGCTGTGAGATGCTGAGGCATCTACATGGATGGAAAAGGGTGGCTTGCACCTTTTACAGAGCCTGCACGGGGAGACAAGATGTCCACATACAAGGGTGGCCCACTGGAGGATATCAGAGCCCAAGCCAGATGAGGGGGCCATCAACATGGCACAGGGGCAGCAACAGGGATGGGAAATTGGTTACTTACAGGGGGAATAGATTGAAGAAGAAAGCATTTTGTCTTTTCTTTTCTTTTTTCTTTTTTTTTTTTTTTTTTGAAATGGAGTTTCACTCTTGTTGCCCAGGTTGGAGTGCAATGGCACGATCTCGGCTCACTGCAACCTCTGCCTCCCAGGTTCAAGCAATTCTCCTGCCTCAGCCTCCCGAGTAGCTGGGATTACAGGTGTGCACCAACACTCCTGGCTAATTCCCTTTTTTTTTTTTTTTTTTTGAGATAGTGTCTTGCTCTGTCGCCAGGCTGGAGTGCAGTGGTGCAATCTCGGCTCACTGCAACCTCCACCTCCTGGGTTCAAGTGATTCTCCTGCCTCAGCCTCCCGAGTAGCTGGCACTACAGGCACGCACCACCACGCCCAGCTAATTTTTGTATTTTTAGTAGAGACAGGGTTTCACCATGTTGGCCAGGCTTGTCTTGAACTCGTGAGCTCAAGCAATCCGCCCCATCTCGGCCTCCCAAAGTGCTGGGATCACAGGCGTGAGCCACTGCACCTGGCCAAGAATGGTTTTTATAGGGGAACATTTACAATCAATTTGATAATAGGGAACACTCACTTTGAACCCAAATTAAGTCAAATCTTACCCTCACAAAAGAATTCCTCTCTTATTAGTAGACCTGCATTAAAAAAATTTACTCAATAATTATTACAGTTTTAATTTCATCAGTGACAATTTTGCAAAAATTTTTAATTTCTCATTATAAAAGTACCTATATACTATCCTTGATTTTGCCCCCTGGACCACAAAACCTAAAATATTTATTATCTGATCCTTTACACAAAACAGCTGACCCTTGGTCTCAACTAACCTAAATAAATAAATGAGTAAATTCCATGGTTGATGAGAAGTGGGATATCTGAATAGTTTTGAAGTACTGCCCTGCAAGATTCTTTTTAGTTACAAAGGGAAAAGGAAAATGTCACAGTGAGAAGCCCAGCAGACACCAGTTTAAGTAATCAAAGCAAACATCTTCAGTAATAGGACAAACTGGAATTGAGCTCCACCTGCTAGGATGCAGTGGGAACCCAGATCACTCCTGTGATCTTCTTTCCAAAGAGGCAAAACCTGAATCTAATCACACGAAAACAAACAAACCCACACCAATAGAGATCTATTATATAAAATAACTGGCCTCTAATCTAAAATTGTCAAGGTCATGTCAAGGAAAGACTGAGGAACTGTTCCAGACATAAGAGACCAAAGAGACATGGCAACCAAATGCTACACAGAATTCCAAACTGGATACTTTTGCTATAAAGGAGATCCTTGGGACAAATGGCAAAACAGGAATGGGCTCCAGGGATTAACAGGCAATACTATACCAGTGTTAATTTCCTGATTCCCATGGTTGTATTGCAGCTATGCAGCTATGCAACATGCAGCATGTCCTACAAACAAATCCATTGTTTGTAGGACATACACATTAAATTTTTCAGGAGTGCTGGGGCATTGGCTGGTGACTTACTCTCAGCAGTTCAGGGGGAATAAAGGTTTTTGTACTATACTTGCAACTTCACTATACATTTGAGATTATCTCAAAACAAACAAAATGGAAGGCTTTGACAAAGTTAGGGAGTTTTCTATTATTCTCACTTTCCTAGACTCCCTTAGAGCTAGGGATGCACACACAGCTCTGGTGAATGAAACACAAGCAGAAGAGTGCTGGGAATTTATGGGGGAAGCTTGTGCTTTTCTGACACAGACTCCATCCCGTCCTCTATCTTCCAGAACATGGACGTGATACTCAGAGGAAAAGCATTCTGGATTTTATAACACCAAGATGACATATATGAAGAGTAAAACCCTTACACCAAAGATGGCAGAGAGCATGCTCAAAAGATGCTGGCTTCCCCCAAGCAAGACGATTGCCTACTGCAGAAAGCTCTGAGTGGGACTGCAGGGCGGCTCAGGAGGACAGCAGGGAGAGGTCTGTCATTCCGCTGTGCAGTGTGGCCTCTTCCTCCTGCCATCATCCCTGCACCCACCCTTCATGCTGGCTATTACATAAACAAATCATAAAATAAAATATTAATTTAAAAAAAAAACAGAGGAAGAGAAGAAAAGAAAATTACAACGAAAACTTTAAAGTCAGGAAGAGGGCTGGGGACAGTGGCTCACACCTGTAATTCCAGCACTTAGGAGGCCGAGGCGGGTGGATTGTGTGAGGTCAGGAGTTCAAGACCAGCCAGGCCAACATGGTGAAACCCCATCTCTACTAAAAATACAAAAATTAGCCAGGCGTGGTGGTGCACACCTGTAATTCCAGCTACTCAGGAAGCTGAGGCAGGACAATGGCTTGAACCCGGGAGGCAGAGGCTGCAGTGAGCCAAGATCACGCCACTACACTCCAGCCTGGGCTCAATGAGTCAGGGGTGCTGGAGGAGCATTCCTAGAGAGAAGTATTTGGTGAAGAAGCCAACCAAATTTGGGGGTTGTGGAGATAGCCATGGGTGGATAGGGATGTGTGAAACAAGATGCTAATACACAACTCTTTCTTCCTCAGTTTTGAAGGAGAGCCCAAAGGCTTGGCGCAAACTGATAGGTGCAAAATGAGCCCACATTCCAGAGTGAGGGCTAAACCATCTACAAGGGACACACAACTGAGATATTGAAGAACCCACTTTACAACCCTGAGCACATCAAGCACTTACAGGTGTTAAAGATTGAGATGGAAAGTGGGGAGTAAGTGGAGAGAGACAGAACTTGATTTCCTTGGAGAAAGATGGAGAAATGTTCTGAGGAAGAAGCCTGCCCTTCACATGAAAACAAGTGATTGGGGCTTTCAGGAACCACTTGGCGACCATAATAGAAATAAGCGACTGGAGCTGGACCCACGCCTGCAAAGGTAATGAAGGCAAGAACCTGTGGCTGGTTATCTGCCTGGGCATAGCCAAGTAAAGACTGTTGTGTTGGGAAGTAGCCGTAATCCCATGACAGTAGGACCAAAATGCTGATGAGAGCCCAGCAAGGGATGGTGGCCTGGGGATGCTGTTCATATAGCCTGCCTGGAGGAACAATGGGGTCCCCACAAGAGTCTGTATGGTGTGGACTAAAGGATGCATAGGCGCTAAGGGAGGGGTGATGAATGGAGAGCTGGAGGAAAGGCAGGGTCAGTATCAAGGAAGCTGCCAGCAGAGAAGCCCAACCCCTGTGTAAGAAACCTATGTAAGACCCAAGAGAAGAAAGTCAGCTTTAAACACCTGCCAAGGCCAGAAAATTCTGTGCTATCCTACAACAGTACCAGCCGAGCAAGACCTTTCCTGCTCTTTGCATCTCCTCCCTCTCCCAGAGCAGCAGCCCCAGAGGACAAGAGGCAGCCTAGTGAGAAGGGGAGGAGGAGGAGATGTACACAGCAGGGAAACAGATGAAGTTCATCACCATCCATTATTCCCCACTGCAGCTCCTGGCCTGATGCAGACAAAGGCTGAGAGAGAGGAGAAGTTTAAATGTCATAAGAAATTTGGAGTTTTGATTCAGTAGAAAGGAAATAAGTGATGTTTCAAGAGGGAGAGGGGATATCAGCAGGACCAAAGGTCCCAAGTAGACAGGAGATGGGATCGATCCAATGTTTAAGTGGGGATGGGGGTGGGGGAGCTGCCTCAATAGGAGTAAGGGCTGTTGGTCCACTGTAGCTGGGGATTGAGGGCGTGGATTGACTAGGGAAGTGTAGCTGGACTTCCAGGCAGTTCTGAGCCTCGTTAGAGATGCATCATCTTGTATTCAGGGTAGAATCAGTCCACACGGTTGCGGTTTTCCTCTGGCCACGTTTGCTTTCTTGGAATGGTATAGAATGAGCAGAGAGCTGGATCTACATAAGGTTAGGGTTTTGCTGGGAAGGTATGTTGGAGGAAGACCAGGACATGCCCAAAGGGGTGGTTATGAAGGGCCATAGAATCTATACTGGGTTAGGAAGGAAGTGAAGACAGGAGGGG
Source organism: Homo sapiens (assembly GCF_000001405.40). NCBI lineage: Eukaryota > Metazoa > Chordata > Mammalia > Primates > Hominidae > Homo > Homo sapiens. Next base: position 203,381,610 of record NC_000001.11, on the reverse strand, counting down.
ATGAAGGAAAATTTCAGGGCTAGGGTAGCAGAGGTCTTAATGAGTAGGAAGAATTGTGGGCGTGATTGTGACTATAGGCAGCCATTACAGAACAACCCTAAAATGGTAGAAACAAATCTATCAACACCATTCACTCCTACTTTCCCACCCATTGACCTCTTCATTTCTGATTATCTGTTGTTCTGACCCTCTGGTCCCTGGCATGTCCTGTTCATCCTTCAGCAAACTACTAGAGCCGTAAACCCTCCCCCAGTTCTTGGCATTGCAACAACACTAAGAGGGTTTCCCCTCCAACTTTCATTTCCTATTTTCTTTTGTCTTATAAATTTCCACTTCTGGACCTGTGTGCTTTTGATAAAGCTCAGTGATTTTTCAGAAGCTCAGAGGTCAGGACAGATGTGTAACTTTCCCTGACTCCAGTTGGGTAAAGTGTTCTGTCTCTCATGTAAGAATTTTTCCCATGAGAGAGTTCTGGGAGACAAGAAATATCCCAACTCCTCTAGACAAGCTGTAGGAAATAATGGAAAATCTTATGGCCACAGACCCACTAGCACCATCCTGCTAAACTGGTAAAGAGGCTAGAGCTTGAGACCTGGAAAATGCCAGGGTACTGCAGCCAGAGAACTATCCTTAGAGCACAAGGGTCCCGGAGGAATAAAGCTAGATGTTGCCAAGTTGTTTTGACTCTATAAGCTGAAGCATATACAGTCAGGAGCTGCCCAGGCAAGGCAGAACCTGCAACTTGTGTGCTGTGCTGTCTTGGTCAAGTACACATGGTGGGTAGAACCGAAAAAAAAAAAAAAAAAAACCCATACATGGTGTTTTTCAACCTCTGTTCTTTCCCAAGCAGGTGTCTATTCTGCCTTCTGAAGACAAAATCTCCTTAAGGAAGTAGAGCCCTCACTAAATCTCCCATGATACGCCCTGAGCTTCTAAAGGGAGTGATCTTAACACTGGCATATTTATTCTCTGACTCTAAGTAAAAGAGGGACTCCAGCAGCAGTGCTCCGGAGCCAGCCCATCCTGCCTTGCAAGAACTGACAGTGAAATTTTCCAGAACTCTGAGAGCCAGTTGTTAAAGGCATATGTCATTTGAAAATAAATTATATAAACTTAAAATTATATCACATTAAAAATAAAAGTAATAAGTACTCAAAACTCATCACTTGCTAATTATTTTACTGTATTGATTAGTATCTTCACTCTTGAGGTTACATACCCCCTACTGCATCTACGTGGTAGAAATACTCTGAAATGGGGTACTCCTGGGCATCTCCTCCTAACCCCACACTCAGTGACTTCACTTTGGTAGTTCCAAACAGGCCATGGAAATCAGCAAACACTGCAAGGCAATGCCCCACCCCTACCTCCCAGACAGCTGATTGTTAAACCTTTACCAGCACATCACTGGACTCCAGGGGCCCAGGAGGGTCAGTGGGAAGAACCACAGCTTCAGCCCACCCCAGGAGCCTGCCATTTTCCCTGTCTGGTGCATGCCCCCTCCCCTGTGCAGGGAGAGGGCAATACTGCATTTACTCACTTGAAGGGCATCTTGGCCAGATGGTTTCCCTCAGACAGTGGTGCTAAGGAGCTGGCTAGGAAAATATTTTCCCAACTCTGCCTGGCTTCCTTTGAACAGGAATAAAACTGGTTCTCAGAAATGCAGCCAGTAGGTAAGTAAATAAGGCAGCTGTGCTCCGAGTTCCAGCTGAAATAAATAAAACTTATGAGTCTGGTTTGCATAAAGAGAAAGCTTATGGATTCAGATTTTCCTCCCTTCCTGCCCTCTGGTCTCTCTCCTACAACAGGACCCCATGTGTGCCTGCATCGCCCTCCCCGCTTCCCCGGGGATGTGATCACCACCTGGTTGTTCATTGGCTATAGTACAGGATAAACTTGCAGCTTTCTGGACACTTGTTTCCAATGGTGGAGCTATTTATTTCTCTTTTCATAGTAGACATTGCCTAGCCTCCATGGGCCCTTTCAAGGGTCCATGTTCAAGGATCTCCTGTTCTGAGCTGGAATAACCCCCCAGCCCCTGAGTCCATTTGAAGTTAGGTCATTTCACTTGAGGGCCAAGGACAGAAGAAGGAGATGGGGAATCTAGCAGGTTTAGGAATTCAGCTAGATTTCTGACATGCCCTGAAAATAGGTGATTGCCTTTACTACCCTAAAATCTGATGGTGAATTAACCACACACAGATGTACTTTGCACATGCACTTCATGTGAGTATATGCCAGGGGCACTGCAGAAATAGCTCTATTTACTAGTTTCTATTTATTCACATTATGTGTTAGAGTGTGGTGTGTATGTGTATGTATGTGTTAGGGTGTGGTCTGTTGTGAACCCAGATGCAGGTATACATGTATGTGTGTAGACGGGCATATGTGAGGGTCATTTTCTAGATGCCTGGGCATTTAAACGTGTATGGAATTATGTGTGAGTAGCTATGTATGTTTCTCTGTGTCTTTGTATAGGCAGATGTGATTGTGTGCGTGCAGGACTGAGCCTCGTGACTTCTGAAAACCTGGTTGAAATGCTGGGAGAATGTCATCATCTTCTAAAAATAGAGGAGCTGAAATATTTTGAAGAAAGGATTGAACACACACACACATACACACACCCCCAAACACATTTCTGTTTTGAGATTCCCTATGTTCCCTTAAGCCCTGTGTGCAATGGAAAAACACCAAATATTTGCAGTTTTCTGTCATGATAAGGATTGTTGACTTCATCCAGGGACAGAATTTTATCACTCAGTTGTCAGGGGAAGGGTGTGGGAGGGGGCTCTGAAGGGGACAGGTTTAGATGAATCAAGCCTAACCTTGCTTCTCTGCATCTGATGCCATCTGTCTTTAAAACATCTTGGCCTGCTTCCCACCGTTCAAAGGGAAGGAGCTTGTCTCTAGCTGTGGATCCATTTGGCACACAGGCGAGGGAACAGAGGGGCCGTGGTCATCTTCCTTTTGAGGATAAGAAGACACAAAGACATGAGATCCTGTTGTAGCATAATGGGGTTAGAACCAACAGAAAACGTCTACTTCTTTATGAGTTGTGAGATATGATAAAGGCTTTCTGAAGTGTTTGTGAAGTCTGTTCCAGGTGATTCTGAGAGAAGACTCCTAGTTCTCTGAGATGAGTTAGAATCAGAATCACGGAGGTTCATACAATCATCAGAATGACCTCTGGAAGTTTTTGTTTGTTTGTTTTTTGAGACAGAGTCTCACTCTGTCACCCAGGCTGGAGTGCAGTAGTGCAGTCTCGGCTCACTGCAATCTCTACCTCCTGGGTTCAAGCGATTCTCCCACCCCAGCCTCCCAAGTAGCTGGGACTACAGGCGTGCACCATCATGCCCAGCTAATTTTTGTATTTTTAGTAGAGATGGGGTTTTGTCATGTTGGCCAGGGTGGTCTTGAACTCCTGACCTCAAGTGATCTACCTGCTTCGGCCTCCCAAAGTGCTGGGATTACAGGTGTGAGCCACTGTGCCCGGCCAACCTCTGGAATTTGTAAGAATCTTATGTTTATTGGGCATTTATTATAATAGCATGGATCACTGGCTTTGTGTATCAACATACTTAATTTCCATCACAATCATGTAAGGATAATTATTATCCTATTCCACAGGTGAGAAAAATAGCACACAGAGGTGGAGACACTTGTCCAAGGCCACAAAGCTAGTAAATGATGAAATAATTTTTGAATTTTAAAACATAATAAAGAGTTTAAGTAGAAGATTAAATATAGCTGAAGAGAAAATTAGTAAACCCGAAGAGAAATCTGAAGAAATTATTAAGACTAACAGAATACGTAAAGGCATGAAGCAATAATGGAAGATAGAATGAGAAATTGAATAAACATCTAATCAGAATTCCAGAAGGAGAGAAGACAGTGAATATTTGAAGAGAATTTCTCAGAGGAGAAACATGAGTCCATAGATAGAGGATACAACATATACCAAGCAGAATAAGCAAAACTAAATTCGTTACTAGACACATTTCAGAAAAACTGAAAAATAATAGAGTCAAAGAGATCTTATAACCAGTAAGACAGAAAAGAGAAATCACCTGCAAAATAATGGCATAGATTTATTGTATAATCCCCAAGAGTAATAACGGAAGCTCGAAGGAAGTGGAACCATATTGAGAGAAAGAAAAAACAAACCTCTCAACCTGAAATTGTGTACCTAGAAAAATCTGTTCTTCCTAAAGGAGGGTGAAATAAAGATATATTCATAACTCCAGGATTCCAGAACTCATGCTTTTTCCTCTACATTATACTGTTGCTACCAGTTCTCAGATAGTTTTAGATCTGAAGTTTTATAGTCAGTCATACTTCATTTTATTGTACTTTCCTTTATTGCACTTTGCAGACATGACTTTTTAAAAAACTTGAAGGTCGGTGACGACCCTGTGTCAAACAAATCTATTGGTGCCATCTTTCCAACAGCATGTGGCCACTTCCTGTCTCTGTGTCACATCTTGGTAATTCTCATATTATTTCGAACATTTTTATTATTATTATGCCTGTTATGGTGACCTGTGATCAGTGATCTCTGATGCTACTACTGTAATTGTTTTGTAGTATCATGAACCGCACCCACGTAAGATGGCAAACTCAATGGATAAATGTGTGTGTTCTGACTGCTCCCACCAGCTTTCCCCCATCTCTCTTCTTCTCCTTGGGCCTCCCTATTCCCTAAGACACACAACATTGAAATTAAGCCAATTAATAAACTTAGGATAGCCTCTAAGTGTTCAAGTGAAAGAGTCATGTCTCTCACTTTACATGAAAAGCTAGAAACTGTTAAGCTTAGTGAGGAAGGTATGTCCAAAGCTGAGATAGGCTGAATGCTAGGCCTCTTGTGCCAAACAGCCAAGTTTTGAATGCAAAGGAAAAGCTCTTGAAGAAAATTAAAAGTGCTATTCCAGTGAACACATGAATGATAAGAAAGAAAACAGCCTTACTCCTGATAGAAAGTTTTAGTGGTCTGGATAGATCAAACCAGCCACAATACTCCCTTGAGCCAAATCGTAATTCAGAGCAAGGCCCTAACTCTCTTCAATCCCATAGAAGAGGCTGAGAGAGGTCAGGAAGCTGCAGAAGCTAGCAGATGTTGGTTCATTAGGTTTAAGGAAAGAAGTCATCTCCATAACATAAAAGTACAAGGTGCAGCAACAAATGCTGATGTAGACACTACAGCAAGTTATCTAGAAGATCTAGCTAAGGTAACTTATGAAGGTGACTACACTAAACAACAGCTTTTCAATGTAGATAAAACAGGCTTCTTTAAAGAAGAAAATGCCATCTAAGACTTTCATAGCTAGAGAGGAGAAGTCAATGCCTGGCTTCAAAGTTTCAGAGGATAGGCTGACTCTCATGTTAGGGGCTAATGCAGCTGGTGGCTTTAAGTTGTAGCCAATGCTCATTTACCATTTTGAAAACTCTAAGGAATTATGCGGCTAGGAGCAGTGGCTCATGCCTGTAATCCCAGCTCTTTGAGAAGCTGAGATGGGAGAATCACTTGAGCCCAGGTGTTCAAGACCAGCCTGGGCAACAGAGCCAGACCCCATCTCTACAAAATTAAAAAAAAAAAAAATTAGCCAGGTGTGATGGTGTGTACCTGTAGCTGCAGCTATTTTGGAGGCTAAAGCAGGAAGATTTCTTGGGACCAAGGGTTCAAGGCCGTAGGGAACTATGATTTTGCCACTGCACTCCAGCCTGGGCAGCAGAGTGAGACCCTATATACTCTGCCTATGCTCTATAAATAGGGCAACAAAGCCTGGATGACAGCGCATCTGTTTCCAATATGGTTTATGAACTATTTTAAGTCCACTATCGAGCCATACTGTTCAGAAAAAAAGATTCCTTTCAAAATATTACTGCTCGTTGACAATAATCCTGGCCACCCAAGAGTTCTGATGGAGACGCACAAGGAGATGAATGTTTTCATGCCTGCTAACACAACATCCATTCTGAAGCCCATGGATTAAGGAATAATTTCAACTTTCAAGTCTTATGATGTAAGAAATACATTTTGTAAGGCTATAGCTGCCATAGATAATGATTCCTCTGATGAATCTGGGCAAAGTAAGTTGAAAACCTTCTGGAAGGGATTCACCATTCTAGATGCCATTAAGAACAATCAAGGTCAAAATATCAACATTAATAGGAATTTGGAAGAAGTTTATTCTCACCTTCATGGATTACTTTGAGGGGTTCAAGACTTCAGTTGAGGAAGTCATTGCAGATGTCGTGGAAATAGCAAGAGAACTAAAGAGAACTAAAAATAGGGCCTGAAGATGGAACTGAACTGCTGAAATCTCATGATGAGGAGTTGTAGCTTCTGGATGAGCAAAGAAAGTGGCTTCTTAAGATAAAATCTACTCCTGGTGAAGATGCTGTGAACATTGTTGAAGTGACAACAAAAGATTTAGAATATTACATAAACATAGTTGATAAAGCAGTAGTAGAGCTGAAGATTGACTCCAATTTTGAAACAAGTTCCACTCTGGGTAAAATGCTATCAAACAGCATCACATGCTACAGAGAAATCTTTCATGAAAGGAAGAGTCAATCAATGTGGCAAACTTCATTGTCATCTTATTTTAAGAAATTGCCACAGCCACTTCAGTCTTCAGTGACCACCACCCTGATCAGTCAGCAGCCATCAACATGAGTCAAGACCCTCCACTTGCAAAAAGGTTATGACTTGCTGAAGCCTCAGATGTTCATTAGCATTTTTATCAATAAAGCATTTTTAAATTAAGGTATGTACAATGTTTTTTAGACATAATGCTATTGCACACTTAATAGACCCTAGTATAGTATAGACATAATTTTTATATGCACTAGGGAACCAAAAAATTCATGTGACTCACTTGATTGAGATATTCACTGTTGCAGTGGTCTGGAACGGAACCTGCAATATCTCCGAAGTATGCTTATATTACAATAATTACCTTCCAGGAAATTCTTCTTGCTTCCTCTGTTTCCTCCTGCCTCCAATATTCCTTTTAAGGTCAGAGCATTTCTAGGGGGAAAAAATGCCATTTTCATTGGCTTGTATTTAAGGGAGCTCCAGGGTCTAATTCTTTGGAAGTTGTCCTTCATAAAAGGTTCTGAGGAATCAAAACAGCACTGCAGACTGTCACTGTACCCAGTGACAGTCTACAGACAAGAGGGGTGGCGGGCGCAAGCACGGAGCATACCGTGAAGGCCCTGGAACCCTTTCTAGAAATCTTCTGTGCTCCCTTAGAGACCACAGCTTGGTAAACCCTGCACCTTTAAATATCATTTTATTAGAGTGAACAGAGCCTGCAGGCACAGCATTAATCAACTAAGTGTTCCCTTCAGGCCTGGGAGCTGGCGTAGTTTTGCCTTCCCTTTGTCCCAAGGTCAGAAATTACTTTGCACTTCACTTGGCTCAATTTCCCTTTGGATTACCACTAAGATAGCTTTTAACTAAAGGTTTTCTCTCCCTTGAAATGCACCAGACTCTCAGCTAAGACTGCTGGCCTCAGATCACAAATTCCTCCTCCTTTCCCTCCCCTGAGAACTAACTCTGAAGGGTGATTGATTTACTTAACCTTTGTTGGTACAAATATGAAAGGCAGCTGCCTCTCTTCAGCTAACATTTGAACCAGTTTATGTTATTTCTCTCTGTGAGCTGGCATTTCTTAAAGGTCTTCTCTGACCTTACTCCAAAAAAGTGGTAAAGCCCTCCTTACCACTGGCAGAAAATGGGAGGAAATACAGAAGGGAAAAGGGGGCCAAAGTGGAGAGGTGGTGAAGAGGAAGGAGAGTGGTCAGCAGCGTTGGCATTCAGGAGACCGGAGGTGCCAGTAGAAGAGCTGCAGAGTCCCTCCTAGAGTCTGTGCCTCAGCCTCCCCAGGGGTCCCCTTTCCTTCTTCCCTTTCTCCTCCCCACTCTGGGATGGCCTATGCCTCCACTCTGCCCCCAGTCCTCTTCTTTTTCCTGGACCCCAGGACAAGAGAGGACTTTCCCCCTGGGGTCTAAGACTGCCATATTGTTCCCCCTCCAACCTTAATCAAGGTCTCTCAGCCATGGGCCTCTGCAAGTCCTACCCTTCCACCTTGCGTTAGTTAAGATAACACTAACTGCTATAATAAACCTAAAACTCTCTATGGATCAAATATGACAGTAATCTAGTTTTTGGCCAGGCATGGTGGTTCACGCCTGTAATCCCAGCACTTTGGGAGGCTGAGGTGGGAGGATCTCTCGAGCCCAGGAATTTGAAACCAGCCTAGGCAACATAGTGAGTCGAAAGAAGGAAGGGAGGAAGGAAGGAAGGAAGGAAGGAAGGAAGGAAGGAAGGAAGGAAGGAAGGAAGGAAGGAAGGGAGAAAGGAAGGAAGGAGAAAGGAAGGAAGAAAGGAAGGAAAAGAAAGAGAGAGAGAAAGGAAGGAAGGAAGGAGAGAAAAGAAAGAAGGAAGGAAGGAAGGAGGGAAGGAAGGAAAGAAGGTATTTTTTGCTCACATAAAGTCCAAAATGGGTCTTCCTGACTGGCAGGCAGCTCTCCTCTGAACAGTGATCTGTATCTGGGTTCCTTCTATTCTATGGTTCCACCCTCTTCATCCACTGGCTCCCAAAGTGGGAGAGGAAAATCGCAAAGGACTGTGTGGGGTAGACTTACGCACCAGGCCTGGAAGAGGCCCGTGGCTTCTCCTCACATTCCATTGGCTGGAGCCCAGTCAAATGGCCACAAGGGAGGCTGGGAAATGTAGGGTAGCTGTGTTCCCAGGAAGAAGAGGAGCCAGTCTCTGCTCACCCCTGCCTCTTTCTTACTTTCCTATTTTGCCTGTGGTGAAGATATCTTCACCAGATATCTGTTAGGGCTGGTTTTTTAATATGTGGTGAAGCTCAGCTGCTTCGCTTATTTTTCCAGACGGGGATGCCCACTAAGTGTTACCTTCACATCAATCCCCAAACATGGTGGTGGCTCCCTCAGGCACTCCATTGAGAAGCATTTGCAGCCTCTCTGGGTCTTGAGTGCCAGGATTGACTGATGCAGAGTGGGTGTGGCGGCAAGGGTACCATTTTTTGGCCATCTTGCTCAAACAGCATTTTGGGGGTTTATTTCCCCAGCGGCTGTGTGATCCCAATGGTTGGGGCCATCATCCCAGAGGCCCATCACTTTTTTTTTTTTTTTTTTTGAGACAGAGTCTTCATTTTGTCACCCAGGCTGGAGTGCAATGGCGTGATCTTGGCTCACCACAACCTCCACCTCCCAGGTTCAAGCGATTCTTCTGCCTCAGCCTCCCGAGTAGCTGGGATTACAGGCACCAGCCACCACACCTGGCTAATTTTTGTATTTTTAGTAGAGATGGGGTTTCACCATGTTGGCCAGGCTGGTCTCGAACTCCTGACCTCAGGTGATCCACCTACCTTGGCCTCCCAAAGCCCAGCCGGCTCATCATTTTTTTTTTTTTTAAACTTGAGACAGAGTCTTGCTCTGTTGCCCAGGCTGGAGTGCAGTGGTGCAATCTCAGCTCACTACAACCTCCACCTCCTGGGTTCAAGTGATTCTCCTGCCTCAGCCTCCCCAGTAGCTGGGATCTCAGCTCACTGCAACCTCTGCCTCCTGAGTTCAAGCGATTCTCCTGCCTCAGCTTCCCAAGTAGCTGGGATTACAGGCATGCACCACAACATCTGGCTAATTTTTTGTATTTTTAGTAGAGACGAGGTTTCACCATGTTGGCCAGGCTGGTCTCGAACTGCTGACCTTGTGATCCACACACTTTGGTCTCCCAAAGTGCTGGGATTACAGGCATCAGCCACTGCACCTGTCCCCATCACTTTTATATCACTTCCTTTCAGTGCTCCCAGGATGATACACCCTTCTTTTCATTTCACCACTTTAACCCCTCTGGGCCAGTCTCTGTGTTCTAGTTAACCTCAGCAACTTGCAGAGCAGAACTGACTTGTATAAGGCTAATTGGAGAGGAGGAGCAGATTATGAAAGGCCTACAAAAACAGCCCTGTGGCCCAGGAGACATGAAGCAGTGCAGTGGACAGCATGATGCAGGAAGCAACCTGCTGGGGTGAACAAGGAAGACTGTGGACCTGTGGCAGAGGCTGAGGGCAAAGACGGCAGCCAAAGCCCTGGGCCAGAAGGTGGTGCAGGTGTTGCCAAAGTGACAAAGAAATTTGGCCTGGAGCTCCCTTCTCTACACCCTGCCCTCCCTCAGTTCCACTGTAGCTAGAGCGCTGGAAGCTGAGTTGCGGTGTCAAGCACATGTGGGCATTTGTGCCTGCCCACCTACTCACACCCCTATGGGGATCTTCATCATTGGCACTGACCCCTTCTCCATTATACCAGATTGTCCACGTCCCTTCCTGATGGCTAACAAGATGCAAATACATTCACATCCCTCTCCCAGGTGTGCTTCTCTAAGGTAACAAAGTCCTTCAGTTAATCCAGCCCTGAGGGACAGGAGAGATAGGGCAAGATCTTCAAGTCCCTAAATCTGAAAGGGAAACAAATGGCCCAACACTGCAGTCCTTGGTGTTAATGAGAAAGACCTGGAGAGACCGTTAAAATTACAGACTCCTGGGCCCCTATGCAGAACCACTGAATGCGAATCTCCAGAGGCAGAGTCTCCTTGGCTGCCTCAGTGGCACCACAGGGAATCCAGATGCACACCAAAGTTTGAGAACTACTGGCTTCAGGAGCCAGTTCTACAGAGTCTGAAATAAGAGATGCTCCGGAGAGAACCCAAGGTATCGTAATTCTGTAACATTAGCAATTGAAATGGGATTAGTAAAGATTGCTAGCACTTACTAACCATTTCTGATGTGCAGGTGCTATTCCTGTGTGCTGTACACGGCTTATTTCCTTCTCACGGTAACCTTACGAAGTAGGTTCTGCTGCTGTCTTCATTATATAGAATAGGAAACAGAGGCACAGAGAGGGTGTTCTAAGATCACATAGCTAGTAAGTAGCAAAGCCTAATTTGATCTCAGAAAGTCTTACTCCAAAGTCTCTGCTCTTAACCATTATGCCATGCTGTCACCCTTTCGCCTCTCTTATTAGGTGTGAGAGTTGAAAGGGGAGAGGTGGTCTAAAGAAGAACTGAGAGGAGGATAAGATAGCTGAGCTCCTTCTTTCCCACCTACCACCAATCCCCTCCACACTAAGAGGAGGATAATGAAGGGTTTCAGAGAAGAGATTATGAGAAAGAAAGGCCTCTATCATTTGCATTTCAGTCTGGTCACTTAAGTAATAACATCCCGCGGGTGCCTCCATGCTTCCCAGGAATGGCAAAGTCTGTTCCCTTTGTCTGCCATAATTATTTCTCTTCATTAACACCTGACAAGGTCCTACTGACCCTTCAAGTCTCCCTGGGAAGCCTTAGATAACTCTCCACCCTAACAGAGTCTATCATGACTTTTTATCTTCTTTTGCAATTATAGGTGTTCACATCTTCCTCTAGTCATTGTTCCTTGAAATCAGGGCTCCACAGCCCTGTTTATCATTGTAGTCCCCATGCTTGGCACATAAGAGGCACTCAATAAATCTTGTGGGAAAAAATGAATGAGGGAACGAAACATTTATTGAGCACATACTATGTGCCAGACGCTGCAAGACCTTATGGATCTTTGAAGATGTGTGGACATAGTTCCTGCTCACAAAGAATGTACAATCTTGTTAGGAGGAACAGATGTACCCCCAAGAAGAGTGAGACCTGGAGGCATCACTGGCCTCCCATGTCACTGTAGGTCAGTCACTGCCCTGCTTCCTCTTTTCCTCCTGGTACAAAGGGTTTATAAGTTCTCTGAGGACACTCCCTATTCTCTTGTCTATTTCTACATAGAGACATCATTAAATGGACCCTGTGTACTCGTGGTTTGGAAGGTGGAGGAGCCAGGGAGAAGGACCTGGAAAGAACACTTCTCGCTGGTACTGGGATAGAATGGTGGTTGCACAGTGAGCAGGAGAGGAAAAATGACAAAGGCCCTGGGACCCTGGGGAAGAAATAAGAGGCTTCTCTGACAGCCAACCTGGGAAGATGAAATGCTGCTAGGGGGTTGATTTGTATGTCTTGGGCACCAGTCAAAGGCTGCTTTCCGTAGTCCTGTTATTTGAGGGGAGTGGGAGGGTGGAAGGAGCTGCCTCCTTATCGCTTCCTCTCCTTAGCCAGTTCTGCTGAGAGCCCAAAAACCCTAAGACCAGATCGTCAACCCCAGCCTGCTGCACAAGATTTGTTTAGGCCTTGCGTACTAATTGGCTCCACTCTGGTGCTCCAGAAACTTAATTGTGAGCCCATCACGACCTCTTCTGTCCTCAGATAGGAATGTGCACAGGCTTGTAGCAGAAACTGGGATTGCACAAGGGACAGGATGTTGGAGGGTGGGGTGGGAAATCCTGGGTGTTAAGCTTTGCCTGAGTTGATGCAAGGTCATCTTCTGAAGGATGAGATGAAGCAACAAAGTCAGGAGGCCCAGCCAGGGCCACAGAGGTCAAGGAGGCAGAGGCATCCTATGAATTTCCCTAGTGGAAAATCAGGTGTCAGGACACAGGGTGGAAAAGTTAATGGATCTCCCAGGTCCTTGCTATTTTCTTTTTCTTCTGATTGCAGACACTTCCCAAATGACTTGTCCAGGCCTGGCCAGTCCCTCAGCAGAGGCTGGATAGAAGAGGTTAGGGTGGAGAGGTCAGCATTGCCAACAGGACTCTGGAGCCCCAAGGAACCCAATCTGTGTTCTTTCCAGAATGAGTCAGAATAGGCTGCCACAGCAGGCAGCCTTGCCGGGTCACCATTCCAGGTGACCGGGGCCACAGCACAGTCCATGCATCCCCATCCTGGTCCTGTGCAGGTGGGATTGAAGGTGCTCAAGCCCAGTGCTCTGGGACTGTGCGTCACATCCCCTAGCTGTTCATGCCCCTCTGACTTCAAGCCCCAGGCCTGATAACTGGCTTTTTTCTGTTTTGCTCTTGAGCCCCAGTTCCTTATCCCATGAGGACCTAGACTTCTCCACCAGCCTTATAGTGAAGGCTCCATCCATTGAACCCGTTTCTGGAAGCTGTTTCTTCTCCTGGCCCTCCTGCTCTTGCCCAGGGACAGAAGATCCCAATTAGATATCCATGGTAGCCATTCTTAATCGATCACATCACTCTTTCCTGTTTTTTTTCCGCTAAAGCAAGACTTAAAATCCCCCTTGACACAGAGCTCCAGACAGCCACTACCAAACCATTACACCCAGCATGGGAACTGAATCCTATTTGCCATCTCTGCTTTTTCCATTTGGACCCCTCCCAGGCCCTGCAGCTGGGACCTCTAGCAAGGACTGCCCTCATTTTCCCCGCCCCCACCCCCGCGCCTTGCCCCATTTCACCAGGCTATGCCCCAAATATGGCAAGAAGCTCAAAGATGCTAATTATGACTTAAATTCATTTTTCCTTCTAATCTCAAAGACTTGCATTACTCTATCCATTTTAGGAAGAGGGAAATTTTGAGGAGCGAAGAATGTACAGGACTCTTATTTGACTTATGGTCCAAAGTTGGGGAAATAATCCCCTGATAGGCTGAGCAAAGTCCCAGAGTGTAACCAGAACCCCCAGCTACATCTGATTTCTCACCTACTAAAAAAGCAAAGCACATAAGCTCCATCTACCTTAGGGGCAATCCCAGTTTTCACTCAGCAATAAACTCTCATTTCACACTTCTTTCCTGCTGCTTGCTGCTAAGTACAGAGATGTCTATATATACATAACTACCCTTGCCCTAAATGGGCCCAAAGCCCACCCCCTGAATGTATGTTTGGGACACACTGACTTAATGCAGATCAAAGGCACTGGTTTCTTAAACCTTGTGTTTCAGAATCACCTGCAAGCTTGGTAACATATAGATTCCTAGGCTCCATCCAGTTCAAACCAAGAATCTCCTGGATAAGGGCCTGAGACTCTGTGTTTATAACTCCCTGGATCAGTAGTCCTTAAAGTGTGAACCCCAGCAGCAGCCACACCTGAGAACTTATTAGAAATGCACTAACAACTCCTCAGGTGATTCTGATGCAATTCCAGTCTGAGAACCTGTTGCCCTGGGTGGTCCTGGGTAGATTCAAGTTTGGGAGCCATTGATCCAAGGGACCCTGTAGAAGTCTGACTCCAGCTGTGGTCCCTTGACCCTATCCAGTGCAGCCCAAATGGTAGGGAGCAAACCCTGGGGCATCTTTAGTCTTCTCTAGGTGACTGGCCTGTTGAAAGGAAAAGGCTGGAATAGACAACTTCTCCAAGGCTGTTGATATACCTGGCAGCAGTTTCTGTTGGCCGCCAGAGAGCCAGCCAAGCAAAGGCCCTTCTGAAAGGCTCTATTCAAAGCTGTTAAATGAGCAAACAGAATCGCTTTTTTCCTTTCCCCTGCACCTGGAGCTGTGACCAGAACTGTTGGCAGCTGCAGCTGTGGCCCCACGAGAGGGCCGGGGCAAAAGAAGATCAATCCTTACCTGCTGGAGAGCTAGGCCCCTGAGAAGGGGCTGGCAAGAGGGTTCAGAAGAGGGAATGTACCCCAGATACAGGGCCAATTCCTCAGAGTGGGAAAACCCATTCCTTCTCTGCATCCCTAGCACAGTGCTTACATTCAGACAGTGCCTGGGAGGTGGGCTGTGCTGCATGCCCAGCAGACGGAGTCTCTAGGGGTCTCAGACTGTAGAGGACAGGTGGACAGGCTGACCACCCACAGACAATTCAAGATGGGAACCTATTCATGCCCAGTCTGAGTCAAGGCACTGTAGGGTTGCAGCTGTGGACCACTTCAGTTGCAGATAGAGCAGAGATTTGAATCTGCCCTGTCCTTCAAGGTCCACATCACATGTCCAGAGCAGGGCTTTGTGCTGCACTGACCACTGCCCAGAGGTAATGACATAGTCGTGCATCCTGTCTCAGGGCTCTAGCAGTCTAAATCATTTCCCCAAGGCCAGTACAAGTCTTGGTTTCTGGTTTCAACTACAGTTTATTTATTTAATCTCCCATCTTCTGATTCACTTGCGGACCAGGAATCAACCCTCTGGTATTCTATCAAATCATAAGGCTTTTACTATATCAAACTTGAAATCCAGATGGACTGAAACCCATCACCACTCATGTTCCAGGAAACCATTCTTACCAGCCGTATGCTTGGGTAGCCTTTGTGCCCCTTCCCGGATCAATCTCCTTATCTGTAAAATAGAAAGATACCACCAACTTCACAATACCCTTCCATCACATTTCAGTCACTTAACAAAGCTTAATTACCTACTTACTTTCTCCTTTAAGTTGAGAAGCCAGTATGCAAGGCCACAAAATGGTAGAAGTGGGGTCTGAGTCTGGATTTTCTGTCGCCCTACATAGAATATCATGCTAGTAAGTTGAATTGTGTGCCCCAGAAAGATAGGCTGAAGTCCTAGTCCCCTGTGAATGTGACCATAATTGGAAATAGGGTCTTTGCAGATGCAATCAAGTTAAGATGAAGTCATACTGGATTGGAGTGTGGTGTCTATAAAGAAAAAAAAGGCAGGTTTGGGTACAAAGATACACAAAGAAGGCTATGCGAAGACAGAGGCAGAGGTTGGAGTGATGCAGCCACAGGCCCAGGAGCTCCAAGGATTCTTGGGAGCCACCGGACGCTAGGAAGAAGCAAGAAAGGATTCCTCTCTGAAGGTTTAGAGAAAGGGGCCCCGCCCGTATCTTGATTTCAGACTTCTAGCCTCTAGAACAGTGAGAAAATAGATTTTTGCTTTAAACTACCCAGTTTGTAGTAATTTGTTCCAGCAGCTCTAGGAAACGAACACTAACATTCTCCCCCAGACCTGAAGCACCACTGCTGACCTTTCTGTGGCTGGCCCCATTCCCATCGGCAGCCTTTACCCTCCTGCTGATCCCCAACTTTATCTGGCTCTACATAAAATAACACCATATTTCACATGTGAACCATTCTTTTGTTTGTTTTTTAGAGACAAAGTCTTGCTCTGTCGCCCAGGCTGGAGTGTAGTGGCACCATCATACCTCCCTGCAACGTTGAACTCCTGAGCTCAAGCGAGCCTCCTACTTCAGCCTCCCAAAGCGCTAGGGTTACAGGCATAAGCCACCGCACATGATCAGAGTTTAAAGGCTTTTTGATCTCATTTTATAGATGTGAAAACTGAAGATCAGGGAGATTAAGGTGATTATCCTGTGATACCATGACAAATAAGTGGAAGAGCAAAGACTGAACCCAAATATTCTAACTCTTAAGCCAAAGTTCTTTTTCTTTAAATTTTTTATTGTGAAGTGTAATAACACACATATAGCAATGCACAAACACAAATGTATAGCTCAAGCAAAGCAGCACAACCCACATAAACACCATCTAGGTCAAGGAATAGAATACTGCCTGCCTCCCAGTTGCCCCCCTGGCAATCACTCTCCATTTCCTCCTAACCAAGGTAACCACTGCCCCATGCCAGGCCAGTGATTGGACGACGCATCCCATTTCAACCTCTGTGTCACTAAGAATCATTGGAGGCAGCAGTAAAAAGATGGAAGCCTGTATATGTACTGGGGGAACCCCCTGCTCTCCTTCCTTTAAGGCTCAGGATTTCCCTGAAGCTAAGCCTCTCTAGGGCTCTTCCCCATCGCTTTCTTTAGAGACGTCAAAACAAAACACAACACACAACTCTTCACTGGTCTTGACACTTTCAGAATTGTAAAAGCTGGGAGTGGCTGACACATTTTTTTTTTTTTTAAGCAGTAAAACCATAGACTTTGAACAAGAAGGGAGGGAGGAGATCAGAAGGTAGACCCCAGGGCTGGGATCATGGATGGTTAAGGAAACAAAGCAATAATTATCAAGTCCCTGAGAATAGCCTGTCCACCACATCCCCCTCCCTTCCTCCTACCAGAGACATCTCTGCTATACCAGCAGGGGTAAGCAAGACCCACAGGAGTTTAGTCTAATCTTGCCTAGAGGCAGGCGCAAGCCACGTGGCTTCTTGTCGCGCCTTCCTGTCTGAGTTTGTGATCCCTCTCTTCGCCAGGAGTCTGCGCGCCTGCTGTCAGTATCAGAGGATAGATAAGGCAGGAACAGGGGAGAGTAAGAAAACAGGGGCTAGTCAGAAGGCTCCAGCCAGGATATTGAGCCATCATTCCCTTGCCTGACTTCTGGAAAGTCACTTAACGCCTCTGGGCTGCAGATCCTGCCCTCTGAAGCGAGGGCAACGGGTCAAGTCCCTGTGGCAACACTGATGCAGACATAAGATGCTCCCCAGGTTCCCAGATGAAGAGAGAAAAACAGAAGGATCCTTTTGTAGTGGCAAGCCTCCAGCTCACACCGCCCCTGGCTGCCTCAGTGGAGACTCAATGCAGCTACTTCTGCAGATGCACCCACAAGGCAGGAAAGTGAGGGTCTCTGGAGGGAGGACAGGAGCTGGGGGAAGTGACAGCTCAACAGATGTCGATTACAATCAATGCCACTCTCTATGTGCTGGCAGGCCTGCAGCAGCCAAGGCACTGGAAAAAGGCGAGATCATTACAGGACTGGATGCAAAAGCTATCTCTGCTCAGTTGTCCTGTCTGTTTTCCTTAAGCCAGAGTGGGTTAGATCTCTAAGCCCATGGGGAAATTCATACTACCAGGGCTGTTTTCTGGAAAAAAAAAAAAAAAAAAAAAAAAAAAAAAAAACTATGGCCTGAGTTCCAAGAAGACTGGCCTTATGGGCTAGAAATTGGAAGCTTTCCATTTAGTTCTGATATCTGCTACTTAGAGTGTGCTTGAGCAAGTCACTTCCATTCTTAGTCTCAGTTTCTGCACCTGACAATAGTAACAATTTTTAATTTATTGAGCACATATTATGTGCTAGGTGATGAGCTGGATGCTTAATATGCATTCTCTTTAATATCTGTCCTTTCTACCTCACGGAGATGCTGTGAGGATCAAATAAAAAATATATTTCCTCAAAAACTTAACAGAATTACCAACGAACCAACAATGCTACTCTGAGGTATACACCCTCAAATAATTGAAACAAAACAAGCCACTCAAACACTTGTTCATGAATGCTCATAGCAACTTGACTCTAATAGCCAAAAGGTGGAAACAACCCAAATGTCCATGACTGTATAAACAAGCCATAGTATATATGGACAATGGAATATTACTCAGCCATAAAAAGGAATGGAGTACTGATACATGCTACAACCTGCATGTCCCTTAAAGACATTATGCTAAGTGAAAGAAGCCAGACACGGAATCCCATGTTTTATGACTTATTTTATATAAGATATTCAGAATAGGTAAATCCATAGAGACAGAATAGATTAATGATTGCCAGAGAATCATAGGGTGTACTTCTGGAGTTACAAAAAAGACTTGAAAATAGAGAGTGGTGGTGGCTGCACAACATTGGGAATACACTAAATACCACTGAATTGTACACTCTAAAACTGCTAATTGTATGTTATGTGGATTTCACCTCAATAAAAGATAGAAACATCTGTCTCTGTGGAAGTTTGCGCACTGTTTAAAGTCATGGCTCAGGAGCACAGTTTCCATGTGGAGCACCCTCTGCAGCTTGTCTGGCTTTTTTGGTTTTTGATTATTTACAAATAAATAACTGCCAGCTAACTCATTCCTCTAAAATGAGAAGGAATGGGGGCAGCTTGCCTTAACTTTCCCACACAAGCATATTGCAGCCATGCTCCACTACATATGGTTGAATTCAGCCTCCTGGGTCAGTGTTGTTGCCAAACTGCACAGGCATATGTTACCCATGCATACACTGATGTGCCCACAGACTGTGGTGCTCAGGAGCACACAGTTCCCACAGGGAGGCCCCTCTGCAGTAAGCAAATGTGCCTGAGAGCTCCTAATTGGCCCATCTCAGGCAATGGAGGATTATCAGTGAATATGATGAGTTTCTATTAACACCGAGCCACTTCATACACAGCAGTGCTTCATCAGGGCTCCAATAAAGGCGAGACAGGCTCCAGAGACAATAGCAAGCAGCAGGCCAGTGGAGAGTGGGAGGCTGCAGAGGCAGCAGCCATAATGCATTATGCAGGTGGCATTTGCTTTTAGCTAATTAATAGTGTGCCACACTCCCTGGCTCCTTCTCCCTAGCTGATCTCCAAGCTGATCTCCACTCCTGCCTCTCTTCAGGAGGGTCCCTGGAGAAGCAGGGATAAGGAGGGGAGCCAGGGCCTTGTAGGGATGGATGTGCACCATGGGAAGGAGGGGTGGCTGAATCATTGCTGCTCTCAGCACTCTGGGACTGGTATCCTCCTCCGCTGATTGCACTGGGTTTTATACTTTACATAAAGATCCCAGCAGGGCTGAGCAGACAGGGCAGTGTAGTGCTGTTCCTGACTCATCAGGCAAAGGCTACTTTTTTAGACTGCCAAGGAGGAGGAGTCATCAGGTCTCCTATATTCATCCCCCTGTCCCTCCTCAGGACACAGAGGTCTAGAAGGCATCTGGTTACCAACCTCTGGATCAGCTGCCTTGTTGATTCTGAGGTCACAGACCCTAATGAACCTAGATAAATTGAACCAGGTGACCCCTTTGAATTGCAAAGCTGAAAGAGGAAGTGAGTGCATGCCACTGGGCTCTTTTGCCCTGGGTTGGCGCTGCAGTTACCACACGAACTGCCAGAGGCCCTGCCAGCAGCACTCAAGGTTCCCTCGACCTGGTGGCCAAGCCCACTCAATTCCCGGATGCCATGGGCCTTAGACGATGGCTCCTTCGTGTCTCCTTGCATTTTTCCCAGGCCTGGGAGGTACTGAGGCTTCATGAGAAGCTCCTGGCAGCTGACGGCTGTACCAAACTCAATGGCTGCCATGTGGTTGCCTCAATCATGGCACAGACAGGGGTCTGGATGAGGTTTTGTGGGAAAGGAGAGGGAGCCAGTACAAGCCATTCAAACTGCTTGACCCATCGCCCTCTCCTACACATGTAAAAGGACACACATGTGCACACACACACACTCATCTCTGCATACAGAATACAGAAGAGAGGAGAGAGTTTGTCAGAGGTGGTCCTCTGTAGTTGGAGTGGCATCCAGCTTAAAGCCGGGAGAGAGAAGAAGACAGGCGGAAAAAAAAAAAGAAAGAAAGAGGAGGAGGGAGATGAGGGAGGGAAGGGAAGTAAACATGAAAGAAACAAGAAAGAATAGGAACACAATCTGACTTGCCTTTACCTACAGCCAGCAGGTGCTCCTTCCCATCCCTTCCTCTATGTTACATTAGAAGAGGGTCTCACACAGCAGAGAGGACACTAGTTAAAGCATCAACTTTGTCCCTGCACCCCAGTCACTTCTTCCACTTACTTAAAATGCTGGCTGATGATATCCCCACACATCTCTGAGCCTCCACGGGGCTCCCAGTCTAGGGTTGCAGACACAGGTCTCTAAGGATAACAGTATGATTAGGCAAGCACATGTCCCAGCTACTAACCTTTCAATTCTTTATTTCCTTCCAAATAAAAGCACTTGCTCATGTCAAATCCCAATAATTGGTGACGCTAGCTCCTCTCCTACAAATCCACAGTAGCCAGCTGCAGACCACGGCCTTTCCGACTTAGAGGATCGCCTCCTGCTCCCCGCTCCCTCCCACTCCTCACTGCCTCCTCCTCGGCTGCCTTCCTAGTCATGCCTGCGGCTCTCTTCCCTCCTGTTGAGGCAAGATGGTGTGTCTGGCAGCTGTTAACTCAATGCAGTTTATCAAACTGCTATCTACAATATCCTAGGCATGGGTGCAGAGCTGGGGGAGCTGTTCCTTCAGTAATGTCAGTACAAACCAGGGCCAAAGTCAAAGAATTAGGCAAGAATACAGAAAGAAAAAAAAGGATAAAAAGGAAAAGCCCTCCTCTTATGTACCCTCCAGGTTTGGTTTCCATGGAAACCTGGTTCTGGTGGACAGAGAGGACAGGGTAAGACAGGCCTGTTGCAGTAGGTAGGGTGGGTCCTGCTATGACCCACCACGATCCAGCGGGAAGCTGGATGTCACATGGAGACCCCAGGAGCAGATCTGTTGGAGTTGAGGCTTTCTGGGAGAGCTCTTTTTCAACTCGCATTCCCAGGTGGGGAGAGCTGACTCTTTCAGACAAGTATGGGTTGTAATGCAGGTCTCAGGGCAAATGCTGAGCGCCTCAGGGGCCACCTCTTTCCGCCATTGGTGAGGAGGGATCCTTGGCAACAAGAGAAGCATGGATGGTGAGGGATTGGCAGCAGCTGTGAGAAGCCCGGGAGAATCTTTCTGTATATTTCCCTGAGAAGGATCACTGACAACAGCTCCTGGTGGCCCTCAGGCAGGTGTTGTAGTCGAAAGAACCCTGACTTTGGTCCCAATTTACTCTATCCATTAGTTTATTCATCCATTCATTCATTGGTACTATATGCCAGGTACTGGGCTTGTGTTTAAATCTCAGTTCATCAAAGATTCAAATGATTAATTGAGGCTGGGCACAGTGGCTCACACCTATAATCCCAGCACTTTGGGAGGCCAAGGCGGGCGAATCCCTAGGTCAAGAGATCGAGACCATCCTGGCCAACATGGTGAAACCCCATCTCTACTAAAAATACAAAAAATTAGCTGGGTGTGGTGGCTCGCACCTGTAGTCCCAGCTACTCCAGAGGCTGAGGCAGGAGGATCACTTGAACCCGGGAGGTGGAGGTTGCAGTGAGCCAAGATTGTGCCACTGTACTCCATCCTGGCGACAGAGCAAGACTCCACCTCAAAAAAACAAAACAAAACAAAACAAAAACAAATGATGAATTGATTTAAAAGATTGAAATGATGTAGGTAGAGGACCTAGTCTAGAGCCTTAAAAAATATTCATTCCCTCTTCCAGTTCTCCAGAAAGAAGTCACCTCCTTCTAATCCTACACCCCACACCCCAGTGATCTCCTTAAACCAGAACACTCTTGCTCCTAGAAGATGCTATTTCATTGAAGTTAATGAAATGGGGAGCTGGAGAAAGAGGGGCCAATGGAGAGAGGGGTAGGTCTGAAAAAAATGTAGCAGGCCAGATAGAAATGCCTTAAGGTGGTGAAGTTTGAGAACTTTGAGGCTGGCTGCTGGCAGCCAGATGGGGGAGAAGCAAATTCTCCCACAGGGTGTGTTTCTTAAAGTGATTGGAAATTTAAGAAGTAGGAGATGGGGGAGGGAGTGAATCTTTCTGTATCTTGATTGAAGATCAAAACAATTTCTATTCTTGCAAATTCCCTTAGAAATACAGCCTCATAGGGATTGGGAAAGGAATTTATTTCTTCACAAAGCTTACCAAACAGCCTGGCTGGGAGCCATTTGGCAGTTTTCTCAGCAGGAAAGTTATGGAAGAAGCAACAGTGCCCCCCAAGAAGCTGCAGCAAAAGACATAGGGAGATGGGTATGCCAGTTCCTGCCCCAGGGAACCCTACAGCCAAGGTGCTTTCCCAAGATGCAAACAGACAGCTCTCTGAGCTCTCCCTCCAGTGGCTGAGGACCTTACCAGCCAAGAAGAATAGCCTAAAACTGTGCAACTCAAGTTGGGACAGCTAGAAGTTCATAAAACCCCAGAGAAGCATGATGGGTCTAGAGCACCATTTTTATTCAAGGATCTCTGGGGAGGCAAGGAAATTCTGTTGAAATAAACACTAATATTTGGTAAGATAAAATGCAAACTTTGCATGATTTGTTAACGTCAAATGTGAGATTTTGTCTTGAGCGGGCTGCTTTAGATTATGCCCCTTGATCACCTGGAGGTACACAATCATCCTTCTATCCCTTTCTGGTTATTTCTTAAAGAAAAGTTTGAACAACCCCTCTTTTCGGAGCTAGATGTTTAAAGATTATTTTAGAGGTCATTGTGTCCATCCCTCACCTCTGGATAGCACTCTCAAACCTGGCTACAGACTAAAATCATCAATCAATCAATAAAAAGGATGCCAGGCACCGTCTGCAGAGATTCTGACCTGGAGAGGAGCCTGGGTGTGGGTGTTTTCCAAAGCTCCCTGGTGGTTCTGATATGTGGCCGGGGCTAAGAACCATTCCTCCTTTATTTAGCTGAGTGTGGTGGCATGCACCTGTAGTCCTAGCTACTTGGGAGGCTGAGGTGGGAGGATCATCTGAGTCTTGGAGGTTGAGGCTACAGTGAGCCATGATTGTGCTACTGCACTCCAACCTGGGAGACAGAGTGAGACCCTTTCTCAAAAAAAAAAAAAAAAAAAAAAAAAAAAAGAGGGGGGAGCGAGAGAACCATCCCTCTTAAATGGAGGGCTGTACTGTCAGAAGCTTAGACGCTTTGGGTCTGTTAAATCCCTACTTCTGTTTTGTCTCACAAATGTCAGGTATGTCCTCTCTTTTTTTTTCCAAGCTGCCACCACCTACATTCCTACTAAAATAATCTTCCCTTCGATTTTTCGATAGATTAGGACATAGGGTCCTCCTTTCTACCCACCAACTAGTCTCTGGACAAACACCCAAGGCGAGCATTTTCTAAGCATCTAGCCTAAGCCAGATGTATGCTGGATACTTACAATTGTTTCACAACCACCCACTGAGATAGGTGTTAGTCATCCCTACTCTACACATAAGGAAACTGAGGACCAAAACAATTTAGGAAATGTTCTAGATTTCCAGAATTCAAAACCTTTCTGTCTGACCCCAAATCCACTCCCTTTCCAAGACAACAATGATACATTGGCTTTCCTAAATAGATCCCTCTTTTTAAGAGGTTTTCTTTATTTTAAAAAATTGTCTAACTGTTGCTTTACCATAAGGACTATACACAGGCAAACAGACAATGGAAGAAACTAGAGTTAAAGAAATCTCACACATTACTAGGGGTCATTATTCTGGGTTTTCACTGAACTCCAATGGAACTAGAATCCAAGTTCTTAGACCTTTGGATGGGCACATGGGATATGTCACGCTTCTCACCTTGAAGAAATGTCCCCACCCATCCCAGGTAGGAGCTACCCTGTCTCTTTAGCTCCAGGGAATTCATAATGATGCTACTGCTTAAGTGGTATTCTTGGTCAACTCTTCCCCCAACTCCAAACTTGATTTTTAAACTGCTAAGACTCAGGACATCTCTTCTGGGATGCTTTGTACTTGGCTCTTGGATGCTGACCTTTTCCATGACCCATTGTGATATGGTCTGGCTCTGTGTCCCCACCCAAATCTTATTTTGAATTGTAGTTCCCATAATCCCCATGTGTTGTGGGAGGTATTTCATGGGAGGTGATTAAATCATAGGGGCAGTCCCCCCATGCTGTTCTTGTGACAGTGAGGCAGTGAGTGAGTTCTCACGAGATCTGATAGTTTTATAAGGGCTTTTCCCCTTTTACTCGGGACTTCTCTCTCCTGCTGCCACATGAAGAAGGACATGTTTGCTCCCTCTTTTGCCACGATTATAAGTTTCCTGAGGCCTTCCCAGCCATGTGGAACTATGAGGCAATTAAACTGTGAGTCTTTTCTTTATAAATTACCCAGTCTCAGGTATTTCTTCATAGCAGCATGAGAATGGACTAATATACCCTGTGTAAGTAAGATATTTTCCTATATATCCCCTGAAGATATTTTTCCATAGCTGTAGACAGTTCTGTACCAACCCTGCCCTGCTCTCTTGCTCTTGTTGGGGGTTTGATGATTCCAGTCATCAAAAGTCCTGCTCTACCCTTGGCTAGCTTCTCTCTGGTTTAAGTTACCAAAGTAGATTTACTTGCCTCTAGTGAAAGCTAACTTCTTCACCTTTCATTTATTCAAGTAAGGGTTAGAATGGGCCTTCTACAGGCCAGCACTTGGCCAAGCACTGTGCTAACTTTTGAAGGCACAATGACATTGCCTCTTTCCTCAGGGAGCTTCCAATCTATTAAAATAACCAAGAGTGGTTGCTGCTGAAGGGCCATCACATGGCAGCCCCTCTGCTAGAAGCCTTTATTCTTTATCTCATTTCATCCTCCCAATGGCTAACGAGGTTACGGTTATTGTCCCCATTTATGAATGAGGACACTGAGTCTCATTGATACTTAAGCAATTAGCCCAAAGTCACAGAGCTAATCAGTGGTAGGGCTGGAATTTGAGCATATAACTACGTTCCAAGCCCATGCTTTTTCCTCTACACTGGAGATTCTATATAGCATAGTGGTTAGAAACTCAAACTCTGGGAACAGCCAGACTTAAGTTTAGAATCCCAACTTGGCTATTTAATTACTATCCAATGTTGAACAAATTAATTAGCTTTTCTGAACTTCAATTTCCTCATCTGTAAAAATAAGGTATGATAATACCTATCTCAGGGTTGTGGTGAGAATCTCAGAAATGATAGCTGGTATTTCAGCTAACTTAGAGCTAAACTATTTTAGAGCTAATATCTAGGACTGGCATTTTAGAGCTAATATCTGGGTCTGTTCTCCCCTGCAGTCATGTAATTTCCTTAATAGCATCCTGGGAGCTGGTCTGTCTTATGTTGGTTTCTTCCAACAGCCCTCAGCACAGTCTGAGGGACACCATTAGTTCTTGGCTCATTTGCAGAACAAAGGTGAACATCATGTACAGAGTCACTGAATGGCCAAATCCTCTAGCCTTCAGGTTTTAATTTATCCCCTCTGCCTCCTTCCTTATTCAGGTATCTCTCCCTGAACGGCCCCCCTTTCCTGACTCAAATACACTCATACCTTCTAGAAAGTGGTCTTCTGGGATCCATCATGTCATCATCATGTTAACAATATCAAGCATGCAGTAAACACACAGTAAAAATAAGAGATGCTATCCATTAAAAGAGAAAGGTTGTTCTCTACCTTCTTTTTAAGCAGCTTATTGCTAAAAGGAAATTATAAGCCCTCAGGCATCTTCTAGAACTTGGAAGTTGAGGTCTTTCTCCTATTGCAGTTCAAAGAAAACAAGTCTTTCTCCAGCTCCAACATCTTCATGGCTCTCATCCTTCTGGAAAGAGGACACTCTCCATGATGAGGACTTCTAATGGCCCTTTGGTGCCAAGGGAATAGGAGAAAATATCTCTCTTGGAAGCTTTGGGACACCATTGTTGGGTGCCAATGTAGCCAAGAATTTCCATTGAAACATCAGACTAGGAAAAACTCCCTCGCTGGCGTCAAGAGTTTTCAGGATGGGCCAGCAGCGGGGTCTGGATTATATAATATCGCCATGGTCATCTTTCTGCTGACCTCTGTATATTCAATTCAAGAAATCTGGTTGGGTGGGTTTTCAGTCACACCCTCTTGCCCTCCACCTTCCCTGAGTTATCTGGGATCAGAGGCTGGATCATAAAAACAAGGGTTGTTGAGTCTTGTGGGGGATGAAGAGGAAGAAAAGGGTTGGTGGCCACAAGAACGTCACTGTGTCTTTGCTGGTGGGAACTTGAGTCAGAAGGGACTTCATTTCTCCCAGACAGGGTGGGTCCAGCATCAGAGGCAATGAGCTTTGCCTAGTGATTGTGGCTTAACCTGTACTTTTCTGGGTAGGGAGGAAATAGCAGTGGCCTGAACCCCTGGAAAGTCTAAAGGTTTTCCTGGCCTGGTTGGTGGTGGTTTTTCCACCCAGCATTGAGTACTGAAGACAGACATACTCTGTGGGGAGCCAAAAATACAATTCCTTTCATAACCCTTTACTGATTGCCTACTAAGTGCCAACGCATTGTGTGCCCAGCTGGGACAGGGGCTACAGAAATGCATGACATTGCCTTTCTCTTTAGTTTATTTTCAGTCTAGTGACTGCATAGTGCTGGCTAGACACCCCCTAGAAGATACTGGTGTCCTCCTTCACATGTGGACTCCCTCAGCAAGCAATCTGGTGGACATCAATATCTCATTCTTGGCTTCCCATGTTGAAGGCAAGCTCTGAGGGCCTAGATCCAGGAACCAGGCAAACAAAGCAGCAGTGGCCAAAATGGAGGTAGAAACCTCCACTAAAGGTTAGAGAAAAGAACTTTTGAACAGTGGGTGGTTCCCTGAAACTCTGCCTTCTGACCTGGTCCCAATCATCCCTTCCATCCTTCCTTCATCCCAGGCCTGCCTTGGAACAGGATGGATAGCTAAAGACCTGGTGCACATCTCACCACTTTAGAAATGGCCAAAAAACCCCATGGAGATACTGTCTTTTTGGTGGTGCCCGGTTGGGAAGAATCCAGTCACTATTTGGTTCCCAGACTTTAGTAACTTTCATTGTTAGTAAATGCAGAATTAGTCAGCATGCTGGAATTTAAAAAAATAAACATCTGTACCCAATGGTGAATCTGTCCAGGCTATCTAGGCTCATTTAAAAGTGTTTCCCAGGCTCGGTTGCCAAGATCAGTGTCCTCCACTGAAAGGTGACTGCTTTCTGGACTCAAAAATGACTAGAAAGTTATCTGTGCATTATTCATAAGCATTTTCACAGTAAGGCCATTCTGCTTCACTCATGAGGTCAGAGTTTGCTACATTCAGATCTGCTTTATTATAATCAGGCATTATACCGAAGCCTTCTTTGTGTCTCCAACACTTAGGATCATGCCCAACACATAGTAGATGCTCAAATTTATTAAACGGAAATGAAATATGGGTGGGATGAGGAAGAGAACCCCTATACCCCAGCCCCATCTCACTTTAAAACCCCCCTGCCCCCAGATTCAGGCAGATTGGTCAATCGTAATTAATTAAGCTTCATCTTAGTCGAGGCCAGCCTGACAGCAGGGTAGTCATTGCCCCTCCACTTTGCCAATCCTCTGTGCTAGAGTTAGAGAAAAGTGTGTGGGCTTTCAAGTCATGTAGACCAAGGTTCAGATCCTTGTTTTGCCACTTACCAGCTAGTCACTTTATATCACTAAAACCCTAATTCCTTGGCTGAAAGCAGGGTCAAAAATAAAAAAAAAAAAATCCTGACAGAATGAGGTGACATAACAGAGGCAGGTCGGAGCCACTGCTGTCACCATGACCCGCAGTAACCAGCATGAGCTTACTGGCTAGAAAAATAGGAAAAAGCAGAGTGACTCAGTTAAGGGAAAACGTCGAGATGACGGGCTTTCTGCTGCTGCGGCAAGCAGAGGAGCTCAGAGACCAAGCAGCAGGAGCAGAAGAAGGCAAAAGAGAAGAAGGAGGAACCCGAGTAGCTTTGTGGCTTCATGTCCAACCCTCCTGCCCTTCGCCTATGTGACTGGAGCCAGTCCCACCACCCTCACGTTTCCTCCTGCAGTGCCCGCAGGTCCCCGCACCCATGGCCTCCTTTTGCCCTGAGTCTGCAGCGGGTCCCTTTTGTGCTTCCTTCCCCTCACGTAGCCTCTCTCCCCCTGGCCCCTCCTGGAAGTGGCGGGTGGGAGGTTACCCCTTCCCAGTGTTTTTTTATTCCTGTGGGGCTCACCCCAAAGTATTAAAAGTAGCTTTGAAAAAAAAACACTAATTCCAATGCAAAATATCTACTGTTATCTTTGATAACATAAGTAAACCACCTAGTCTATAGTAGGTGGTCAGAAAAGGCTCATTCATTAGGTTTCATCTTTTTGAAATCTCTTCTTAAATTCTGAGAATGGGTCCCTGACAAGGCCCTTTCTGACAGCCCACACGCTAAGTCAAAAGCTCAAACCTATTGGAGAAACCAAAAGGACCATCTGCCTCGACACTTCTAAATTCTTCAAATTCAAGTCATCTCAGGGTTTCTCAGTTGGTATTTTTTTAAGATAAAGGTGTTTCTTTGATGTTGGCATAAGCCAGTTAACATACTTGAGGAGAGAACATTTAGGACACATGAGTTTATCTAAGCTATTGAGATTCTGTGTGACCCACATTATAATGGTTCTCAAATGTTTTCTTCCAGCCCCTAAACTCCAGATTCAGATTCATATGTCCAACGGTCTACGTGCATCTCCAGGGGAATGCCTAGCAGGCATCTCTAACAGCATATCCAAAATGTAACTTTGGTTTTCTACCCAACTCAGTCCCACGTCACCTTTCCCATGTCAAGAAATGTTACCACCACCTACCCAGTTGCTCAAACTAAAATTCTAGGAATCATCCTTGACTTTTCCTAACTCTGCAAGACTTGTCAGTTCTCTGTCTAAAATATAAGATCTTCTCTTCCATTGCACCAGTCCAATCTGCCATTACCTCTCCTTGAGGCTGGGTTGGAGCCTCCCTGCTTCCACCCTGGCCTCCCCTTCTCCATACAGCAGCCCCTCCTACATGCTTTTAAAATGTAAATTAGATCCCATGCAAATCAGATCCCATGGCTTCTCCTGCTTGAAACATGTTTTTTTTTTTAAACATTTAGAATAGGCCGGACCGGATGACGCACGCCTGTAATCCCAGCACTTTGGGGCACTGAGGTGGGTGGATCACCTGTGTTTAGGAGTTCAAGACCAGCCTGACCAATATGATGAAACCCTGTCTCTACTAAAAATACAAAAAATTAGCTGGGCGTGGTGGCGTGTGCCTGTAGTCCCAGCTACCCAGGAGGCTGAGGCAGGAGAACGGCTTGAACCTGGGAGGCGGAGGTTGCAGAAAGCAGAGATTGTGCCACTGCACTCCAGCCTGGGCGACACAGCGAGACTCCTTTTCGATCTCCTGACCTCATGATCCTCCTGCCTCGGCCTCCCAAAGTGCTGGGATTACAGGCATGAGCCACCACGCCCAGCTGAGACTCCTTCTCAAACAAACAAACAACAACAACAACAACAAAAACATTTAGAATAAAAACCAAATCACTTCCATCGCCCAAAAGTCCTTTCATGGTACAGCTCCTGCCCAGCTTTCTGATCTTGTCTTTCCCTGGCTGAGGAATTCTATGGCTGTGAAATGGGTAGGACACAGTGAACCTCAGCTATGTGCCAGGTCAGGAGCCTCCCACACATCACCTGATACAGTCCTTGCTACAACCCAGCAAGGTAAGTGTTATTAACTCTGAATTTGTTGTGAGCATTAAGTGGAAGTGGATGATGCTAGTGCATAAGCAGTGATCAGCAAATGCTGGAGTCCCTGCCTTTCCTTTTGTTCCAGTGGTGGAGGTGGGCAGGACCTGTAGCCTAGAAAAGTCTACACTGCTTAGGGATAGAACTGGAACCAGAGCCGGCTGTCCCTTGTCATTCATGCTCCCTTATCCACTAGCCTGATGACCTGTCTATAGGGGGAGCTGAGAAGCGCGAGTTCTCGCTCTCTGGAGGGACATGTGGGTTGCTGAAGGAGTTAAGATGTCTCTTACCAAACCCTGGCCCTCCCCATCCCTGCATCTGCCTTTGTGGCTTTAATGAGAAATCCAGGCGCTTCATAAGAGACTGTACAAATAACTTCTAGGGCGCCACTAACTCATTCAGCAGAAAGGGACCCAGGGCTGCCAATGTTTCAGGGAAGATAAGTGAGTGGAAAAAAGGTGGTTTTTATAGCGTCAGGCGGACCGAAGGATTTGCGTGGTTGAGCGTGAACTCCGCCCCTGCAGCAGAGCTGAAAAAAACCAGGATCCGGGTTCCTCAGCCCCTTTTCACAATATTTGATTAGGAATTTGGGGCGGGACCCTGGTCTGGCACAGGCACGCACACTCTCAGTAGACTCTTTCACTCCTCTCTCTCTTCCTCTCTCACACGTTCTCCAACCCAAGGAGGCCAGACAGAGGGACGTGGTCACTCTCTGAAAAGTTCAACTTGAGGTAAGTATAGTCGTTTTACTTCGGGTTTGTCCCTAGCAGTTCCTTAAAAGAAATAAAGGAAAAGTGGTAGGGGATAGGGGAGATGGGGAGGCAGGGAGGGTTCATTCCTCCTTCTCCACATCTGGGCCATGACCCCAGGGATGCTGGAGAGTGGCAGAGAGGGTGTATAAGGGAGGGGTTCCAGCCCTGTACCTTTCTCTTACAGTTCCTTTATGGGTGCTGAGGGGACCTCCAATTCTCAGGCATGAAAAAGTGAAGGACCCTCTGTCTAGGGAAGCTTCTTCCCTGCTACTCATAAATCCCATCATGCTGGGAGTGTGGGCATTTTGAAGGGTATTCCAAGACCTGGATGTCCCTGCAATCTCTCTTATAGAGGGGTTTGGTACATAAATGCTATTATGGGAGAGGGGGAAACTTTTGTGTAGAATGTGTGTGTGTGTGTGTGTGTGTGTGTGTTTGGAGTGGAAAGGAGAGAATAAAAAGAAGCATTGAGAACTGGCCATGTCCAGGGAGCTGTGGATTGGGGTGGGGATGCAATCCAGGTGAGGGGATGGCCTCTGGCTTGACCTTCTCCACTGATAGGAGGGAGAGATCTTTCTCTAGAGTGGAGAAATGAAAGAACAGCAGTAGCTCCTGAGTAAACTTCCCCCAGCTGATAGTGTGGCAGTCCTGGAAACTTTCGACCTTACAGAAACTCTGAGCACAGGAGGGCCTCTAGCATTATGGGAAACAGTGTAAGACTATGCAACCCTGAAGCAACATTGCTAAGAGATGGG
Organism: Homo sapiens; assembly: GCF_000001405.40. NCBI lineage: Eukaryota > Metazoa > Chordata > Mammalia > Primates > Hominidae > Homo > Homo sapiens. The sequence continues at coordinate 203,350,256 of NC_000001.11, read as the reverse complement.
ATGGGGTAAGGAGAGGCATAAGCTCCCCATCAAACCCTTTCAGCACCCATGGCTCTAAGAAGAGGCTGAAGTGGGCAGGGTGCACAGCCCCTAGAAAGCTGAGTCTGAAGGGGAAGGTGGCTCTTGTCTGCCAAGGTGCCCAGTCTGAAAGAAGGAGAAACGGAGACAGAGGCTCACTGTGCCAGCCCTCCAGACAGCCACCTTGGTCCTGCAACAGCCCAGGGCTGTGCATGGAAAAATGCTCTGTTGGCAGTGGGCCGCTCCATTCGTCTTCTCTCCTGGCCAGAGCCAGGAACCAGCCAGCTTGCCCAGGCAGTGGGCAGTTGGGTCAGCTTCTCCAAAACACTGTGGCTCTTTGTCTGAGGCCTGAGGCTGCCTGTGGATGAGCCAGGGTGCCTGCTCCTCTGCAACCTAGGAACTGATGGGATGAAGTGGGCCCAAGGAAACTGTTTTGAGGGGACAGAGAGGTCTGGGATGGATGGTGGTCAGGAGGTAACTCTGTTGAGTGTCATAGTTGGGGTCTTTCCCATCAGTTCACTGGATCTGATGATGTTGGCTTTTATACTCCTTTCTTTCTTCTGTTTACAGTTGCCAACCCCAGTAGGCCCAACAGCAATGTGAGGGCTGTATGTGACTCTTCCAGGCCAAGAAAGATTCTAAGGTTTCTCTGTCCAAGGGTGACACTCAGGAAGATGCCCACTGCTCACAGGAGTATGTCATGCATTGGCTATAGGTAACCAGGGTAGGGTACCCAGGCCACCCCTAGTCTCTTACCTTCCATACCTTTAGTTTCCCTCTCAGATGACATCAGACCCACATTTCCTCTTCAGTCTGCCCTGTTCCTATCTCATTAGCACAACAGGTTCAAAAGCAACAGGTTTCCAGCAATGTGGGGACCTAGACACAGAGCCTGGTCATCTAGGTGTCATCGCTGGGAGCAGGTAGCTTGGGAAAGGAGAGGAGAATGTCAGGGTCCTACCTCAAGCTGCTTTCCCTTGAGCATACACAAGAGTTTCCAATCTCTAGCTATTCTTTTGGTGTCCCTCATTCATTTCTCTTGGCCCCACATGGCTCTTGCATGATGCCCATGGTGGAGCATGAGGAGTGCTAACACCTTACTAGGCACCATGGAAGAGAGAAGCAGATTAACTCAGACTTCACACACTGAGTACCTGCTTTAGAAGGCAAGTGCCACACCCAGTGCCAGGGTCCTCAGTCTGGAAAGGATTTGTAACTGCTGCATGAAGACCCTGTCCCAGCCAAGTTGCATGTGTAGCCACAAACTGCTAACCAGTGAGTTTCCTCACTCAGCAGACTGTTACAGATGATGGCACTTTGGAGGGCAACCTGAGCCTTGTGGTGGCTGCAGAGGGACCACACTCCTCCCCAAACACTCAAGACCAAAAACTCCCAGCCTGCCCAAGAGACCAAAAGATTTTCCAGATGTAGTTCAGCTCTTCCCCTTCGATGCGTCAAGCGGCTTCTGGAGGTCTCCCATCCTAGGGCTTTCTCCTTGGACTCTTAGAAAAATACTATTTCCCCGGAACATCCAAACTGGATTTGGGTTCAGATCTGAAGAGCATCCCACTACCATCCTTACCACCACACCACAAACACAGGGATTGCTGTGGGCTTTTCAGCTTTCCCACAGGACTTTCAGAGTGCTAGAGGCTCCTAAGAATCTGCCCCTCCAAAAAAAAAATGCAGCTGTTCCCATTCAAAGACATTCTGTCTGTGACTCTATGACCAGGGGAAAATGCACTTAGCTCACCCCAAATAGCCATGGTCCGGCTGGACCAAGTGCAGAACCAGACTGGGAGGAGGCACCGAAGAAATGAGAGCAAGGCTCCTGCTCTCAGATGTTTGACATGGAAGTCAGCTCTGCATAGCTCAAAGCCTAAGGCTTGCCTACTCTGCCTCACTGCCTCTGTGGAGTCTCACTCATGCTGGCTTGCTCTGTTCTCTCCCGCTTCTTGCAGAGACAAAATGCAGTGGACCTCCCTCCTGCTGCTGGCAGGGCTCTTCTCCCTCTCCCAGGCCCAGTATGAAGATGACCCTCATTGGTGGTTCCACTACCTCCGCAGCCAGCAGTCCACCTACTACGATCCCTATGACCCTTACCCGTATGAGACCTACGAGCCTTACCCCTATGGGGTGGATGAAGGGCCAGCCTACACCTACGGCTCTCCATCCCCTCCAGATCCCCGCGACTGCCCCCAGGAGTGCGACTGCCCACCCAACTTCCCCACGGCCATGTACTGTGACAATCGCAACCTCAAGTACCTGCCCTTCGTTCCCTCCCGCATGAAGTATGTGTACTTCCAGAACAACCAGATCACCTCCATCCAGGAAGGCGTCTTTGACAATGCCACAGGGCTGCTCTGGATTGCTCTCCACGGCAACCAGATCACCAGTGATAAGGTGGGCAGGAAGGTCTTCTCCAAGCTGAGGCACCTGGAGAGGCTGTACCTGGACCACAACAACCTGACCCGGATGCCCGGTCCCCTGCCTCGATCCCTGAGAGAGCTCCATCTCGACCACAACCAGATCTCACGGGTCCCCAACAATGCTCTGGAGGGGCTGGAGAACCTCACGGCCTTGTACCTCCAACACAATGAGATCCAGGAAGTGGGCAGTTCCATGAGGGGCCTCCGGTCACTGATCTTGCTGGACCTGAGTTATAACCACCTTCGGAAGGTGCCTGATGGGCTGCCCTCAGCTCTTGAGCAGCTGTACATGGAGCACAACAATGTCTACACCGTCCCCGATAGCTACTTCCGGGGGGCGCCCAAGCTGCTGTATGTGCGGCTGTCCCACAACAGTCTAACCAACAATGGCCTGGCCTCCAACACCTTCAATTCCAGCAGCCTCCTTGAGCTAGACCTCTCCTACAACCAGCTGCAGAAGATCCCCCCAGTCAACACCAACCTGGAGAACCTCTACCTCCAAGGCAATAGGATCAATGGTGAGACCTTGGCAAAGGGAGGCGGGGACTGGCTGTCTATTTCACTTGAAAGACACTATTCTGAGTGCTAGTGGCAAAACAAAAGAAATAGAAATAGGGGAACCAGACAGCACAAATGAAGCAACCTGACAACCAAGCCATACCCCTGTACAAAAGAGAATACACTTATACTAAATAGCAGTGCTAAGACAATTCAGTGGGGAGTGGGTTGGTACAGAAGAAGACTTTCCAGGAGAGGTAAGTTTCATTCCAGGTCTTGAGAGATAAGTGGGCATGGGTTGGGGGTATGCAGGATGGAGACATTCTGGGACAGAGGCTTGCCACAAAGGAGCCAGTCATTTTCACAGGTCACCTGTCGATGTAGGGGACAGCTGGGAAATGTCACGTGTCTGAGATGAAGGGGTCATGTGTCAGGGAGCAGTAAGAGATGAGTTCGGAGAAGTTTAGGAGGGAATACTTCAAAGGGAGGGAGATTTAAGTTTAGCTTCTAAAGTCTGTTTCAGGAGAATGGTGGGTTGAAGCCCTGCACTTACTCACTGTCCCAGAAGAGGATGAGCTCTCTTTTTCCACTTGAACTACTCTTGCGTCTACAGCCTGGTCTTGTGTTTTGGTGTTTATTCTCAGAGCTGAATGCGGCACTTGTTCTGGTCAGTTCTTCCTGGAGTACAAGGACCCCCTGGTGGCAGGGCAGATATCCTTCCTAGGGTAACATGAGCCTGACTACCACCAAGCCTAGGACACTGGGCTTCCTGTTTCATAAGCACTTCCTTGCAATGCCCAAAGGAAAAAAAAAAAGGCTGCCTCCCTGACTCTAAGAAATATTCATTTCAGATGGAATTATCTAGCTGATTTTCAGCTCCCTTTAGTCTTAGGATCTAGTATTCAGAACATGCTTACATTACCCCAGGGCTTCTGATGTCTTAATCCCAGCTGGAAGGTACTGAGCCAGCACTTGACCTCCCTTCCTGTCAGCAAAGTCCTCTTCCATCTGGAGAAGGGAGGACTCATTAACGACCACTGGCAAAGGGCTTTGAAGTGGAGCCTGCTGAGATAGAACCGCACCATCAAAGCGCTGAGAAGAACAGAGTCGTCACCCTCTCCCTCTCATTCCTTTCTCCCCTGTGCTCAGGGAACAGATCAGTCATTGAGCAAGATGTTAACAAGCTGGGCAGCCCTCTGAGTGAGAGAGGCACCAGCCCCAGAGGGCAATTTGGGAGTTGACAGTCGGGTGGGCAAGGCAAAGAGGCATCTGTCTGGCACCTTTAGTTTGAAGTGCCTGACACCATCATGTACAGCCTAAACTCTTTTTTATTAAAATCTCTCTTTCTTTGGGGTCTTTTTATTCCCAAGGTGGGGATTGAGGGGTCCTCTAAGACGTCTTTTTTTTTTTTTTTGAGACAGAGTCTCGCTCTGTCACCCAGGCCGGAGTGCAGTGGCATGATCTCAGCTCACTGCAAACTCCGCCTCCTGGGTTCACGCCATTCTCCTGCCTCAGCCTCTTGAGTAGCTGCGACTACAGGCGCCTGCCACCACGCTCGGCCAACTTTTTATATTTTTAGTAGAGACGGGGTTTCACCGTGTTAGCCAGGACGGTCTTGATCTCCTGACCTCGTGATCTGCCTGCCTCGGCCTCCCAAAGTGCTGGGATTACAGGCATGAGCCACCGCGCCCAGCCAAGACATCTTGAAGATGTTGCAAGCTGCAGACGTTTGACATTTCCTTGTGGCTGTCTATCATCACACCAGCAGTTACCACTACTTACCTGCCACACACTCTGAATCCAGGAGCAGTCACATCAGAAATGTCACACGTATGCTGTGCTTCATCCAAGTTTGACCCTGAAACTGTGACAGCAAAGAACAGCTGTCATGGGAAAGAATCTATTAGCACCTACCCATACAATCAGAGAAAGTTGGGATGGAAAAGGCTTCATCACAACCTTTTATCATCGTTCTGCCTTCATGCAGAACCACATCTGCCACTCAAATGGGAGGTGGACCACCTCTTCCAGACGCTTGTCAGAAAATAAAATTAGTGCAGTTTCCTAAGGTCCCGCAAACAAATTCTCTGTTCAAACAACCCCCAAATTTTCGGTGTCTACTCCCAAATCAATTCTTGTGCAATTTAAGTCCAAGCCCCGTGACTAGGTATCACTTAGTCTCTCTCAGCCTTCTTTTTAGACAAAATAATGCTTTATTTTCCTTAAAGTAGTGAATTAATATATGTAAAGTGCTTTGTCTAGGGCCTGGCATAGAATTTAAAAACCAATGATAGCTATTATTATTAGCCTTTCTTCTCATTGCCACTTTAAAGTTGACAGGCAGTTTTTGTTGTTGTTTTGGGGAAAAAGAGACACAGAGAAGGTAAAGCCATCTCTCAAAGTCCTCCAGATGATGTAGATTAGAATCCTGACCTAAAGGACCTAGAGCCAGGCATCTCCGACTGAGAATGGTGAGGAATATCTCTCTGATGCAGACCACTAGCAGGAAAACAGCTCCCCAAGCTCAGCCCCCTCTCCTACAGCAAACGTGAGGGACATCTCCCTGCAAACCAGTCAGGGACTTGGGGATGGGGGGTGTTGGAGGTGGGATTGAAACAAGCTTCTGAGAGAGGAGCTTAAAGAAGAACAGGAGCTCAGGGGCGCACAGGGGAATCAGATGTGGTCCTCTCCTCGCCACTTCCCTCTTCCATCAGTATCTCCCTCAGTTTTTCCAGCCTGGCAAGAACACAGCTCAGAATGTTATTCAGAAGCTTTGGGATTCAGTGGAGCAGGGCGGGTACACCAGTAGGAATTTGGAAAGACTTATGTCAGTATTTAATTTGGGCTAGAAAAATGTCCTCCAGTGCCTCCACGCAGAAGCCTGTCCTATTCATGGGCTTGGGGAAGACGGGGGGGTGCTCACAGTACCCAGTATGTGGCTAGAGTCCATATACACTGTGTGTCTAGCTCCCCACAGGTATGTCCCACATTTACCTATCCACAGCTGGGATCTGGAATTTTAGCAGGCAGTCTGAGGGCTCCAGGCTGGGAAAGAATCTATCACGGAGCCTGCAGCTCCATCCTAAGTAGGGCTGGAAATGATACTTAAGCTGAGCCACTTTGCTTCTTCTCCTCACCCCACTGCTCTGCTTGTACACAGATAACATAGACCCAGCCCCGGTCTAGGCTCTGCCCCCAACCTGCTCACTCAGAGGCCACTTAATCTAGTCCTTGGGACCAGAAAGGAAACATCCAAAAGTATTCCAGAAATTCTACCCCACCAGGAGTGTTTTCCAAAGACGAGTATTTCCCAGTTTCCGCTACTTTTCTCAGTGTCTAATTTTCTTTAGGCCTAGATTTTCTGTGTTATGCCTGCAATACAAGTTAATTTGCTGCAACCTCACCTCATCTTATCTTGGTCAGTGCTTAACAGAGACTGAAAACCATTGAAAATGCTAATTTAAAAACACTTTTTTCATCAGCCTCTTTAAGCTCTCCATGCTGTCTTTCTTGGAACTGTCTTCTTCATACCTATAACCTCTCCCAAGGGGAGCCCTCATGGTCACACCTAAGAATAGAGTTAGAAAAGCACCCCCTGCCCCCACTCCTCGTGCCTGGCCCCAGACTGACGCACCTCCTGACCACTGCTGCAAGCCGATGGATGCCTCTGGTACAACAGCAAGCCCCAGCTCTGGGTCTACCCAAGTATTACAGCTGCTAGGGATGTGTCCATGGACAATCCTACCCTCAAGACCCAATGGGTAACTTCATTCAAACCCCCTTTGCAGAGAATGACAACAGGAGCAAGTTTCCTGAAAGCCTCATTCACCATGGTAAAGACAGCCCTACGAGGCTTCCTCAGCTTTCAATGGTGACTTTTGCCATCTCTCCTGAAGTTTTAGCTGAGTTCTTGGCTTTTCCTTTCAAGTTACTGACCCAGTAGACTGGAGACAGAGTGGTTGATTTGTCAAAGAGGACAACCAGAGGGACAACAGGGTTAATAGCAACAGAAAGATTTATGCTAATACCATCCAAGCAGAACTATTGTCTCTACTAGAATTCTGCGGTTTAGGGGAAAATCTTAGGAGACTTCTTTTCAGGTTTAAAAAAGGGAGTAGATTGTAATCATATTAAATGCAGGAGGCAGGGAAATTATTTATTTGACTTTTGAGGTCCCTAGCAGCCCCAGTGCTCTATGAGTCCCCAGCTTCCTTTAAACTCAGAGCCTTGCTCACTGCTCTGGCAGTATTTAGAATGGAGACGTGCAACCCACTCAAAGCCCTGGCACACAAAGACACTTGTCTCTCGGCCCAGGCTTTCTCTCTTTAATTTCCTGCCACTTTTTCTATCTGTAAAGTATTAAGTCCCTCCATTTCCCCAGTCTTCTTTCTCACAGCAATTCAGCAAAGCCCTCCCTCTCCAAAAACAATCAAGTATTTCAAGGTGTCTACGGTTGGTCTTTGGCTACCCTCTGCTTCCTACTGCTGCCCACAGCTGCCCACCTGCCCCCCTATCCTGCTAAAAAAAAAAAAATGTCCCAGAGGGAAGGACGCTTAAGAACATTCCTGGGCCTGCAGAGTAAAGTTCAGGTTGGTGGTTAGGAGGTGAGCTGCAGACGCAGGCACAGTCCTCACTCTGTCCCTAGTTCTGCCCCTAGTGGCGCCAGTAAGTATGACTCCAATCCTGGAAAACATCTGCCCTCCATCCCCAACTTCCACCCCTTTATCTAAGCTGCTTCACAAAGGCTAATCTCACTGTGGCTTCAGGTTCGTAATCTGGGCTTCTCTCCCTGACCCGTGCTCCTCTTGTCCCCACAGAGTTCTCCATCAGCAGCTTCTGCACCGTGGTGGACGTCGTGAACTTCTCCAAGCTGCAGGTGCTGCGCCTGGACGGGAACGAGATCAAGCGCAGCGCCATGCCTGCCGACGCGCCCCTCTGCCTGCGCCTTGCCAGCCTCATCGAGATCTGAGCAGCCCTGGCACCGGGTACTGGGCGGAGAGCCCCCGTGGCATTTGGCTTGATGGTTTGGTTTGGCTTTTGCTGGAAGGTCCAGGATGGACCATGTGACAGAAGTCCACGGGCACCCTCTGTAGTCTTCTTTCCTGTAGGTGGGGTTAGGGGGGGCGATCAGGGACAGGCAGCCTTCTGCTGAGGACATAGGCAGAAGCTCACTCTTTTCCAGGGACAGAAGTGGTGGTAGATGGAAGGATCCCTGGATGTTCCAACCCCATAAATCTCACGGCTCTTAAGTTCTTCCCAATGATCTGAGGTCATGGAACTTCAAAAGTGGCATGGGCAATAGTATATAACCATACTTTTCTAACAATCCCTGGCTGTCTGTGAGCAGCACTTGACAGCTCTCCCTCTGTGCTGGGCTGGTCGTGCAGTTACTCTGGGCTCCCATTTGTTGCTTCTCAAAATATACCTCTTGCCCAGCTGCCTCTTCTGAAATCCACTTCACCCACTCCACTTTCCTCCACAGATGCCTCTTCTGTGCCTTAAGCAGAGTCAGGAGACCCCAAGGCATGTGAGCATCTGCCCAGCAACCTGTGGAGACAACCCACACTGTGTCTGAGGGTGAAAGGACACCAGGAGTCACTTCTATACCTCCCTAACCTCACCCCTGGAAAGCCACCAGATTGGAGGTCACCAGCATGATGATAATATTCATGACCTGATGTGGGAGGAGACAGCCAACCTCAGGCTTAGATCAATGTATAGGGCTATATTTTGGCAGCTGGGTAGCTCTTTGAAGGTGGATAAGACTTCAGAAGAGGAAAGGCCAGACTTTGCTTACCATCAGCATCTGCAATGGGCCAAACACACCTCAAATTGGCTGAGTTGAGAAAGCAGCCCCAGTAGTTCCATTCTTGCCCAGCACTTTCTGCATTCCAAACAGCATCCTACCTGGGTTTTTATCCACAAAGGTAGCGGCCACATGGTTTTTAAAGTATGAGAAACACAGTTTGTCCTCTCCTTTTATCCAAGCAGGAAGATTCTATATCCTGATGGTAGAGACAGACTCCAGGCAGCCCTGGACTTGCTAGCCCAAAGAAGGAGGATGTGGTTAATCTGTTTCACCTGGTTTGTCCTAAGGCCATAGTTAAAAAGTACCAGCTCTGGCTGGGGTCCGTGAAGCCCAGGCCAGGCAGCCAAATCTTGCCTGTGCTGGGCATACAACCCTCTGCTTTCACATCTCTGAGCTATATCCTCATTAGTGAAGGTGGCTTTTGCTTTATAGTTTGGCTGGGGAGCACTTAATTCTTCCCATTTCAAAAGGTAATGTTGCCTGGGGCTTAACCCACCTGCCCTTTGGGCAAGGTTGGGACAAAGCCATCTGGGCAGTCAGGGGCAAGGACTGTTGGAGGAGAGTTAGCCCAAGTATAGGCTCTGCCCAGATGCCATCACATCCCTGATACTGTGTATGCTTTGAAGCACCTTCCCTGAGAAGGGAAGAGGGGATCTTTGGACTACGTTCTTGGCTCCAGACCTGGAATCCACAAAAGCCAAACCAGCTCATTTCAACAAAGGAGCTCCGATGTGAGGGGCAAGGCTGCCCCCTGCCCCAGGGCTCTTCAGAAAGCATCTGCATGTGAACACCATCATGCCTTTATAAAGGATCCTTATTACAGGAAAAGCATGAGTGGTGGCTAACCTGACCAATAAAGTTATTTTATGATTGCATCTACAAGAGTGGAGTCATTTAAAGCAGACTGCAGGAGGGTTACTTTAGGAGGACCTGGTGAGGTCGCAGGTCACACAGGCCTTGGACTGATGAGCCCTCTTTCTCATCTATTCTGTTCGGGCAGATGAAGCTAAGAGGAAAAAAAAATGAAAAAAAAAAGTCACTTGTATAAAAGCTGTAGTTAGCAAACTGTGTTCTGGAAGTTCTTCTTTAAGTCTAACTTCAATCCTCTCTACACATTCCCTTCCATATGGTCCCCAAGAGATATAGAATAACTGGGGTTTTTTTTTCAACCCTTTCCACCATCCTCTCTTGCAAAGCCGGTAATTCGGGATCTGGCTAGTCCTGGGTATTGTTGTCTTAACTGCTTCTGCCCTCTAGTGGCAACTGTGCAGATCTGAGGGCAGCCAAGCCTGCCAAAGCCCGTTGGCCCTGGAAGAGGAAAACAAACCTTTACCCCCCATTTGTTTTCTCATTCATCCTGTGTTCATATCGTGAAAGCCTTTGAGTGCCAGATGTTGTGATAGGTGCTTAGCAAATGTCGCATAAGTTAGGAGGGCAGACTAGGCTTGTGCCTTCAGAACAATCCACTATTTTCTGATAGGGAAATAACAACTGATAGTTATTGGGCACTAAATTCTGTACCAAGCATGTTGCAAATGTTACAACTCCATCTTAAGCCAAAGTAAACTAATTTGACTATACTTCTCTGACGTGAGAGTTAGGCAGGAATGCTAGTGTGTGAAACTACCAGAAAGAAATCATAGCTCTAATCACAGTCCTCTCCTCAAGGACAGCAGATAAGGCCCCTCTGCCTTGGATCTCCAGTACAGGAAGATGCCATGTGGAGGAGACAGAGATGTGGCACATAGGGCAGGAATTATCTAACTATAAGGAGGAATCCTCTGCCTCTCCGTTTTTGCTTCTTTGCAGCTCCCATGAGCATCCCAACCAAGACAGAGCAGGGAGAGGAATGGGAGCCAGCCCTGCTGCAAGGCTTCCCTTGTTTCTAAACCCAGTGCTTTGTAAGAAACAGAGTAGCAAGAATAGACTGTCCCTCAGGCTCAGTTGACTCTTTTTCTTTCAGCTGCCATTTGATCAGTCTTATTATGTGCTAAGGGCTTTACTTATTTAGTATTCTTCACCATTCTCTACCATGGAGATTATTATTTTCACTATTTTACAGAGGAGGAAACTGGAAACAAAGACACAGAGGTCACCCAGGAAGGACGCATCAAGGCCAGGATCTGACCCTGGCCGTCTGTCTCCCCAGCCTGTCAGTTTTGCAATATTATTTACACTGTGCTGTCCTAAGGATCCTTGTATTGTTGGATTATTAGGTGTATGCAGGAGGCTTGTGGGTCACTGGCTGTCATAAATAGAGAAAGATCATCTTACTTTTTTTGGAGATGGACCCAAATCCATTCTGCTAGCATTCACAGTTCCTTTATGAATTTCCAATTCAAAATTCACTTTTCATCAGTAAATGTTTAGTGAGTGCCACTGAGCAGGAACTGGGGATACTGCAGAGAACAAAAGCAAACAGCCCCTGCCCTTGGGGGCTTGTAGTCCAGTGCAGTGACAGTCCTTGAACAACGGCAAAAAAATCACACTGAGGATCATGTAGTTAGACTGAGAAAGAGCTGTGACGATGAGCATAGGTCTACACCAGGATTATCAAGGAGCCTGGCCTAGATACTCTGAGATACAGAGTGAGAGCATAGTAATCCAGACGAAGAGATGGAAGGGCAGGTCCAGGCAAAGATAGCAGCATGCATACACACCCTAATGCACAAGGAAGCTTCTGAGGCTCTAGACAGCGAAAATGGCTGCAGCACAGAGAGAAAGGGAGAGAGTTTCAGTTGATCACGCTGATGCAGTAGGCAGGGGTCAAAGGCAGTAGGCTTTGTTCTCTTATTTCAGACCCAAGTACGAAGAAACTTAATTACCACCGTCCCAAACCCCATGTCCCAGGGCCTGCCTTACATGCAGGCTCACAGTTCTGCCTTCTAGCCACTAGTGGGCAGCATCTCATCTCGCACCACCAGCCTTTTCTGAAACCTTTAAATCGCAGCCCACTTAGCCCACTTTTTCCCAACTTCCTTTTTTTTTTTTTTTTTTTTTTTGAGAAGGAATCTCGCTCTGTCGCCCAGGCTGGAGTGCAGTGCCACAATCTCGGCTCACTGCAACCTCCGCCTCCCGGGTTCAAGCGATTCTCCTGTCTCAGCCTCCTGAGTAGCTGGGATTACAGGTGTGCGCCACCACGCCCGGCTAATTTTTATATTTTTAGTAGAGACAGTGTTTCACTATGTTGGTCAGGCTGGTCTCGAACTCCTGACCTCATGATCCGCCCACCTCGACCTCCTAAAGTGCTGGAATTACAGGCGTGATCCACCACTCCCGGCCTTTTTTTTTTTTTTTTTTTTGAAACAGGGTCTCACTCTCACCCAGGCTGGAGTGCAGTGGCGCGATCTCAGGTCATTGCAACCTCCACCTCCTGGGTTCAAACAACCCTCCTGCCTGCCTCAGCCTCCCAAGTAGCTGGGACTGCAGGCATGTACCACCATACCTAACTTTTGGCTTTTTTGTAGAGATGGGGTTTCATCATGTCGCCCAAGCTGGTCTCCGACTCCTGGACATAAGCGATCTGCCCGCCTAGGCCACATGCCTAGGCTTACAAAGACTTTGTAAAGGATTACAAAGGAAACTAATTACATTGAAGTACAGTTACCAAAATATAAAACATATACATTTTTGATATAATAATATATATGTTTCTTTATTAAGTCGATGAATAACAAGATTTAGCAACAGGTCTAGTTAATTATAGTCATTTCAAACTATTGATGCATGTAAATGGCATATCAAACTATTTTAACAACTGTAATGTGATATAAAAATATCTTGGCCGGGCGCGGTGGCTGGCCGGGCGCGGTGGCTCATGCCTGTAATCACAGCACTTTGGGAGGCCGAAGCGGGCGGATCACGAGGTCAGGAAATAGAGAACATCCTGGCTAACACGGTGAAACCCCGTCTCTACTAAAAAATACAAAAAAAATAGCTGGGCGTGGTGGTGGGTGCCTGTAGGCCCAGCTACTCGGGAGGCTGAGGCAGGAGAATGGCGTGAACCCGGGAGGCGGAGCTTGCAGTGAGCGGTCTGCACTCCAGCCTGGGCAACACAGCAAGACTCCGTCTCAAAAAAAAAAAAAAAATCTGTGGGCCGGGTGCTCTGGCTCACACCTGTAATTCCAACACTTTGGGAGGCTCAGGCGGATGGATCACTTGAGGTCAAGAGTTCAAGACCAGCCTGGCCAACATGATAAAACCCTGTCTCCACTAAAAATACAAAGATTAGCTGGACATGGTGGCGCATGCCTGTAGTCCCAGCTACTCAGGAGGCTGAGGCAGGAGAATTGCTTGAACCTGGGAGGCGGAGGCTGCAGTGAGCCAAGATAGAGCCACTGTACTCCAGCCTGGGCAACAGCGAGACTTCATCTCAAAAAATAAAAAATAAATAAAAATATATGTGATTTCAGCTGGTGACAAAGCCTCAGGTACTGCTAATAAGGCTGTGGTTTGTTACCTTCATAATTGAAAGGAATGCTACATTTCTGTTAGATGTATGAAAAACAAAGATAGGATTTCCCATTTCTCTCTAAGTCAAGCCAAGGAAAGACAAGCAGAAACATGGATCATAGAGGGAAGGCAAGAAAAATAGGCAAATCATCGTCTTTTCTCTCTATGAACATAGCTTAATCACTCAACAAATTTTTACTGAATGCAAACCTTGAGCTAGATAATGTGTCAGTAGTTGCTGCATTTAGTATGTGAAAGTTGAATGTAAAGTTCTCAAGGTTCTTGCCATGGCATGTGATAGAAATAATAATAACTAACATTTGTTTTACCTTAACAACTTAAAAGACACCTAGTTCATTCAAGAACCCATGAGGTAGTTTGCTATAAGTGCCAATTAAGGCATAGGGACAAAATGTTCATTTTTTTTTTCCAAGGGTGGGGAATGATGAGGGGCAGGGTAGCCAGGAATGCTGCAGAACAGCCCCAAGCTCCCTCTCACTGGGGGCTTGCAATGCACTTCTTTGTTAGCTTTGTTTGCTAGCTCAGCCATTTATTCTACTAAGCACTCAGATGCAGGGTCCACAGTTGATGTATATCATCAGGAGACTCAGTATCCTGTGTAGACCTCAAACTCTCCCAGAAATTCTTCTGCCTCAGACAGATGGGAGCTAGTAGACATGACTCCTGTTGCCAGCTGAGCCTCTGGGTACCTAGGCTAGAAAGTTGTGCCCAGATGGAGCAAACACATTGCTCAATCTTGTAGCAGCCCAGGTTTCCAGAGTAGGAAACTTTTCTGGAAACTAGGCCATGCTCATATGTGCTGCATGAAATGGCACAATAAACTGGACCTAATCCTTTCCTGGACCGTGTGGTCCAGGGAGCAGAAGAAGGGGGAAATGAGTCCAGAAAGACTGGAATGGACAAAAGGACCAAGCAGACCATGCCCAG